>NC_000012.12:41702552-41854067 GCF_000001405.40 Homo sapiens
AACTTTAAAAAAATGCTACTGAATATCAAATTCATGAATTGTATTGTTTTCCATCAAATCATTTTGCGGAGCATATTAAAAATAGCGTTCTAAAGCATAGAGTTAACTTGATTTTTCTCCTTCCTTAGATCCCCAAGGAGCCTACCGTCCTAGTTTTCTTTCTTTTTTCTCTTTGCTGTCTCTTGCTGTGGTTGCTTTTCCTCTAGTTTCATAAATATAAGTGTTACTTAATGCTCTGTCATATAGCTCAGTTCTCCACATTTTTCCCTGTGTGATCTCAACAACTTCTCACCTCTTCCACCATAGCACTGTGGACATGACTCCCCAAATCTGCGTCTCTCACCCTACGTTCTCTTCTAAGCTCCAGGCCTGCCAGCTATAAATCTTTATTAAAACACTATAAACAATATGTATCTGTTTAATAAAATACTCTGAACAATATGTGTCTGTTTCTCCCGTCTTGCCCTCAAACAATCTCCTCCTGATATTTCTTGACATTATAAATACCTCTTTTAGGTGCCATAGCCCCAAATCTCAGAATTATTTTTCATTCCTTCCCCTCCTTGTATCCCACATCAAATTAGTTCCATCCTTCGGGTTATTTCTAGAGTTTCCTATTTTTTTCTTCCTGGTCTTTTCTAGTCCAGCTGTCATAATTTTAATTCCCATCACCTTCCACTTGCTGTATTAATGTGACTGGTCACCGAATTCCTTACTCCAGTTAACCAAACTAGCACTTCCTAAAGTGACTGATGCGCTTAATATACAACATCATATACAGCATTGAATTTTTAAGTTTTTCCACCGGTTGTAAATATGTGTGTGTGTGTATATGTACATCTCTATTTAAACCATCTGGCCGTTTAAAGTTTTCATGTCATTTATTCCAATAACTGGAACTTTCATATATTGCTGGTGGGAATGTAAAATAGTATAACCAGTTTGAAAAACTGCTTCATAGTTTCCTATAAAGTTAGATGTATAACCTACCATATGTCTCTGCCATCCCATTCCTGGTATTTACTCAGGGGAAATGTTTTAAGTCATTTTGCTAGTCACTGTAAAGCATCAAATTAACCAGTCATTAAACCAGTGTTTTTCAACATATAACAAAGATGCATGCATGCACTTTTGTAATGTTTCATAGCTTTTAAAATCAAGCATTTTAAAGTTCTTGGAAGAAAAACAGAACTCAGAGAATGGTATGTTTGAGGAAAACAGATCCCATCCCCTCTAATTACATTAAAGAAACAGGCAGGACAATTTTTTAAGTGTACAATACATACAGATTGCTAACCACAGGCACACTGCACGACTGATCTCTAGAACTTATTTTGCCTAACTTTATACCCATTGAACAGCAACTGCCTCCTTCACCTTACATCATCCCTTGACAAGCACCATTCTACTTTCCATTTCTATGAGATTGACTATTTTAGATACCCCATATAAGTAGAATCAATCATTATTTTTCCTTCTGTGACTGGCTTATTTCACTTAGCATAATGTCCTTCATGTTCATCCATGTCATAGCATATGGATGGATTTCATCCACGTTGTAGCACAGGAAGGATTTTCTTGTCTTTTAAGACTGAATAATATTCCATGTTGTCTTTATCCATTTATCCATTGATGTACTTTTAGGTTGTTCCCATATCTTGGCTATTGTGAATAATGCTACAATGAGCACGGGAGTCATATATGTCTTTGAGATCTTGATCTCAAGACTTTTAGATATGTAACTCGAAGTGGAAGTGCTGGATCATAAGATAATTCTATTTTTAATTTTGCTGTTTCCCGTAAGAACTGCTGCATTTTACCTTCTTTCCAATAGTGCATACAAGGTTCCCAGTTTCCCCACAGCCTTGCCAAAACTTATCTTTTTTTTTGGGTGAGGGGGTAATAGCCATCCTAACATCACCTTCATTTTCTAAACAGCTTTATCGAGGTATAATTTACATACCATAAAATTCAACCATTATAAATACAAAATTCAATAATTTTAGTAAATTTATGTAACTGTGCAACCATTCTAAAATCCAGTTTTGAACATTTCCGTCACTCCAAAAGTGCCATCATTCTTTATTACAGTTAATCCAAGTCCAAACCCTAGTCCTAGGCAACAACTGATCTGCTTTCTTTATAAATTTGCCCTTTCTCTACAGCTTATAAAAATGAAATTCCACAATATATAATCTTTTGTATCTGCCTTCTTTCACAGAGCATAATGTTTTTGAGAGTACTCCATATTGAAGTGTATAAATGTAGTTCATGCCCTATGCCCTTTAACTTCAGGATATTATTTCTTTCTTTCTTTCTTTCTTTCTTTATTTGAGACAGAGTCTTACTCTGTCACCCAGGCTGGAGTGCAGTGGCGTGATCTCAGCTCACTGCAACCTTCGCCCCCCCAGGTTTAAGCAATTTTCCCTCCTCAGCCTCGAGAGTAGCTGGGATTAGAGGTGCCCACCACCACCGCGCCTGGCTAATTTTTTGTATTTTTGGTAGAGATGGGGTTTTGCCATGTTGGCCAGCTGGTCTCGAACTCCTGACCTCAGGTGATCCACCTGCCTCGGCCTCCCAAAGTGCTGGGATTACAGGCGTGAGCCACTGCACCCAGGCGCAGAATATTATTTCATCATATGCATATACCTTGTCTGATTTTCTCAGTCACTAGTTAATAAACATTTGGGTTGTTTACAGTCTTCAGTTATTGTAAAGAATATTCCCATGAACATTTCTGTACAGGTCTCTGTGCAGATGTATGTTTTATTTCTCTTGTGCCTATTCTTAAGAGTGGTTGCCTTCATTTTTGATAAATATTTTTACTAAATAGAAAATTCTAGTTTGACAGGTTTTTCTTTTCTTTATTTTAATGATGCACTGCAGTCTTCTAGCTTGTGCCCTTTCACAGGAAAACTGCTGCCATTGTTTCTGTCTACATAAAGTGCCTTTTTTCCTCTGGCTGTTTCTAAGATTCTCTCATTATAATTAGTTTTAAATCATTTGATTATGAAGTATCAGTGTAGTTTTCTTCATGATCCTTGTGCTTCAGGTTTGGTGACCTTCCTTAAACAGTCAGTTTACCTTTTTATCAAATTTGAACATTTTTGGCCATTATTCTTCAAAATTTTTTGGCCGCATCTGTCTCTTGCATCTCCTTCATGTACTCAAAATACATGTGTATGTGACTGCTTAAGGTTCTCTCAAGCTCATCACTAATGGTCTGTTCAATTTATTTATTTATTTATTTATTTATTCATTCATTTATTTATTTATTTATTTTCAGACAGAGCCTCACTCTTTCGTCAGGCTGGAGTGCAATGTCACGATCTCGGCCCACTGCAACCTCTGCCTCCCAGGTTCAAGCAATTCTCCTGCCTCAGCCTCCCAAGTAGCTGGGACTACAGGCATGCGCCACCACACCCAGGTAATTTTTGTATTTTTAGTAGAGACGGGGTTTCACCATGTTGGCCAGGATGGTCTCGATCTCTTGACCTGGTGATCCGCCCGACTCGGCCTCCCAAAGTGCTGGGATTACAGGTGTGAGCCACCACGCTCAGACAGTCTGTTCAATTTTTTTTTAGTCCTTTTTCTCTCTGTGTTTTATTTTGGATAGTTTCTGTTGCCATTTCTTAAAGTTCACTAATATTTCCTTCTTGAGGATTTAATCTGCCTCTTATTCCATCCATGTATATTTCGTCTCAGACATAGCTTTCATCTATAAAATGTTGAGCCTGTTTTTTATGTCCCATGTCTCAACATGTGTTAAATCTTTCTGCTAGTTTCTTGAATGTATGAAACACAGAATTCTTTTTAATAGCTTCAGCTACAGATTCATTCATATCTTTCATTTCTGGAACAGATTGACTGATTTTTCACCTAATTATGGGCTATATATTTCTGGTTCTTTGCAACCCTGGCAACTTTTAATTGCATGCTAGTCCTTGTAAATTCTACCTTTTAGAATATTCCATGATGTCAGGGAATACGTTTTTCCTATTTTCCATCTTTGCATCTAGCATAGTTGCTGACTCAGCAAAGACTAAAATATTTGTTGAATAAGGATCCTAAAAGAAAAGAATGAAACTCAGTTATCTATTTTCCTTCTATTTCTACTGGGGCAAAAATTAGTATTTTTTTAATATAATTTTAACTTTTATTTTAAATTAAGGAGATACATATGCAGGTTTGCTACATGGGTATGTTGCATAATGTTGAGGTTTGAAGTATGAATGATCCATCCTATCACCCAGGTAGTAAGCATAGTACACAATAAGCAGTTTTTCAGTCCTTCTCACCTCCCACCCTCCCCACTCTAGCAGTCTCAAGTGTCTGTTATTCTTATCTTTATGTCCATGAGTACCCAGTGTTTAGTTCCCATTTATAAGTGAGAACATGCAGTATCAGGTTTTATGCTCCTGCATTAATTCACTTAGGATAATGGCCTCCAGCTGCATCCATGTTGCTGCAAAAGACATTATTCCTTTCTTCTATGGCTGTGTAGTATTCCATGGTGTATATGTACATTTTCTTTATCCAATCCACCACCAGTGGGCACCTGGGTTGACTTCAGGTCTTTGCTATTGTGAATAGCGCTATGAAGAACATAAGAGTGCATCTGTCCTTTTGGTAGAACAATTTATTTTCCTTTGCATATATACCCACTAATGGGATTGCGGGTGGAATGGTAGTTCTGTTTCAAGTTCTTTAAAAAATGTCCAAAATGCTTTCTGCGGGGGCTGAACTACTTTGTATTCCCATCAACAGAGCATAAGCATTCCCCTATCTCCACAGCCTCACCAGCATGTGTTAGTTTTGTTTTGAGAAGAGCCTAGCTCTATTGCCCAGGCTGGAGTGCAGTGGCGCGATCTCAGCTCACTGCAACCTTTGCCTCCTGAGTTCAAGCAATTTTCCTGCCTCAGCCTCTCGAGTAGCTGGGATTACAGGCATGTGCCACCACGCCTGGCTAATTTTTGTATTTTTTAGTACAGATGGGGATTCGCCATATTGGCCAGGCTGGTCTTGAACTCCTGGCCTCAAGTGATCCACCTGCCTCAGCCTCCCAAAGTGTTGGGATTACAGGCATGAGCCACTGCACCCAGCCACTCTGTTAGATTTTGACTTTTTACTAATAGCCATTCTGACTGATGTGAGATGGTATCTCATCATGGTTTTGATTTGCATTTCTCTAATGATCAGTGATGTTGAGCTTTTATTCATATGATTTTTGGCCACATGTATGTCTTCTTTTGAGAAGTGTCTGTGTCCTTTGCCAACTTTTTAATAGAGTTGTTTGTTTTTTTCCTGTAAATTTGTTTAAGTTCCTTATAGATGTGGGATATTAGACCTTTGTCAGATGCATAGCTGGCAAAAATTTTCTCCCATTCTGTAGGTTGTCTGTTCACTCTGCTGGTGGTTTCTTTTGCTGTGCAGAAGCTCTTTAAATAGCCAGTGTCCAGAATGGCATTCTCTAGATTTCTTTTTTATTTTTAAGAGATAGAATCTTGCTCTGTCTCCCAAGCTGGAGTGCGGTGGGATGATTTAGCTCACTGCAACCTTAAACTTCTAGGCTCAAATGATACTCCTGCTTCAGCTTCTCTAGTAGCTGGGAATAGGTGCATGCCACTACACCTGGCTATTTTTTTTTCTTTAATTTTTTGTAGAGATGGGGTTTTGCTTTGTTGCCCACATTGTTCTCACAAACTCCTGGCTTCAAGCAATCTTCCCACCTCAGTCTCCCAAAGCATTGGGATTACAGACATGACCCTCCACACCCAGCCAAAATTAATATTTTATAATGGTAGTGCTAGAATTCATTTTAGAGAGGAACTATCTTTGTTAGCCTTAAGGATAGAAATTGAGACTCACAAAGCATGCGTTAACAGTAAACAAAGCAATAATGGACACAGCTAAATTTATTTTCATGATGAATAATCAGGGAATTTGAGGGTGGATTTTGAATGAAGAAAAAATAGAAGAGGGGAGAAAGAAGAGGTAAACAATTAAAAATGCGGTAGAGAGTTTGAATGACATTTAAGATCAGGAATGATTAACATTTAAAGTTCTTTGCATTACTAAGAAGTAAATCTGACACCTCTCCAAAACTTCAGTAAACTCTGATGCTTGCATGTCTCCTGAAAGTGTTGTTGGTTGTTGTTGTTTTTGCCAAAGAAATAAATGAAGGACTAAGTCCTATATTTGCCCTATTGACAAAGCAGGAATAAAAACATGCAGAAGGCATACAAGAAAACAAGGATTCTGTGGAGACCGATAATGAAAGCCAAACGGATGATGAGAATAAACTTTTCCTTGCCTCGATATTTGTCAGGAATTTGAGGGAAAGGCATGGAAATTTTCTCGGGGCATGAATTACTGGTTCAATTCAATTTTATTACCACTTAAACAGCTAAAAAGACCTTGCTGTGCATAGATTTCTAGATGGCATAGATCTCTCTACCAGGCAACACCTTCTCATTTTCACCAAAGGCGTTTACTTTTACTATCAGCATTAAAAGCACCCATAATCATTAATTTGTCCACAGTTTTACTTTTCAACTGTCCTAATGTACGCTCTTTCCATTCCTCCTCCTTTTCAGATGCTGCCTCTGCTCACTACCATCTCATCACAGGCTTTTCTGCCTACCAGATGGTGGTGTGTGCCTTTCCTTCTTTGCATTCACACTCCCTACAGTGAGCACTGCATAAACACTGAATACAATAAACATTTCAGCTGCTCAAAAATTGTTCTAAAATTTATGGCAGAGTCCTTTCCATTTAGGAAAGGCAGCACACATGTATTAGTGTGACAAAAGACATAATAAAATAACAATACCAATTAACAGGGCTAAAATTCGCAACATTCCTTCACATTTTGTTTTCTGCACCTCCCCCCACCTTCATATTAGTAGAAAAACCAAGGATGCTGGGAATGTAATAGGTCTGTTAACCATGCTGGTTGTCAAGAGATACTGAGCCTTGGTTAACCCTGATGACCTCTCCAAATGATAATAATTAACACCTTTGAAGAGAGAAAGTTAAGTACTCAAATAGAGTGCTTAACATACCAGAATGAGTAACTCTTGACATGGAGTTGCGGAAGATTTTATTAGGGAAAGTCTCATAGATGAGGTGCCATGTGAATTGCATCATGAAGGAAAAGGAAAAAAAGTTTGCCAGACAAATAAAAAGGGGAGAACTATTCTAGGCAGAGACAGTACTGCATTCAAAGACTCACAAACGAGAAGAAACTAAACATCTTTAGTGGACAGCAGGAAGTTGAAAAATTCTGTTAACATGAGGAGAGGTTATAAGGGCAAGTTGTTAAAGAACCTATCCCAATGACAGTTCTCGGAAATCCCCTTTAGAGAGTTTGTTCAGGCAGTGGTGTGAACCAAATATTAAACAAATAGACAAACAAAAATAGGCGTTGTAGGCTTTGCACTTTCGTCTCTGGAATTTCTCCAAACTATAACCTCATTGCCCACTGAGGATAATTCCAGGACCCTGGAAAGTCCAGACATTACTACCTCATTCTCTCAGGCTGCCCTTTGTATCAACAACTTGCCTCATCTCATGACTCAGACACCACACTGATCTCCTTGACTTTGGGTATATGCCTTCTGGTTCTGTTCACCATAATCTCTGGAAAGAGCTTTATGCCCTCCTCTCACCACTCTCACCCTACACACACACACACACACACACACACACACACACCCTACCTTAGGTTACAAAGCAGTTACCTTCTGTGTCTCCACTTCCCAAGCTGGCCTCATTACACACTGGAGTCAGACAATTACCAGTGAAAAGTCAAAGGATGTTTTTAAGCAAAAGAACAATGTGCTAGAATTACCAAGAGTACTGACATTGGACATTTTTTCTTATTAAATATGAAAGCAATAGTCGTTAAAAAGTTGGAGTTCAAAAAAATAGCCAGATAAAATTTTAGCAAAAATTCTCAGATGATTGGCATATGAGTGGCAAGGTATTACAAACTACTTAAGGGTATAAGAACACAATAAAAATAGTAAGCTCTTCAGATTTTTCAGAATTAAATACTTGTCTAAAATCCATCTTATTCCCCCCTACCATTCATCTATGTGAATTTTATTAACCAAAGTAACACATAAAACGGAGGGAAAGAGACAAAGAACGAAGGATGCAGTGCAAGATAACAAATGAGTACTCATTACAGGATTGCAACGAAAACTAATGTTAAAACCTAAATCTCCATAGCATGAACTTCGGGAGATTTGCATGGTATCAAGAAATCATTTATTATTGGTTTTTCTGCACTTATAGATAAATGAAGCCAGGAAAATCTCCATTTTCCCAGCTGCAAATTTTCTGAGTATGGTGTAATATTCAGCTATTGAGTTGAAGAGTGTTGTTCACTGTAACTACTAGTTTTGAATATAATATGAATAATCAGCATGAAATAGCATTCTTGGACCCCTCGTTGTAATCAACATGTCATTGTTACAATATTATGGTACCAACATAAAGTAGAGTCTCCTCATTCTAATTTTTGAATGTGTTTAAAGAATAAATTATAATAATTTCCAAAAGCATGAAGGACAGCTTTGTGAGATTGCATCTTTCTCCTAAAAATGATAAGAAATTCACTAATGAGTCCATTAGACAGAGTCCATTAAAGGTGACAGGACAAAGATCTCTTGGAGACTTCATCAAGTGGAGACAATATGCAAAATTAACTCAGTGTCCATTCGGCTTCCCTGTGCTCAAACAGGAAATGAGGTTTGAGTGACGACTTTATTTAGCGAGTCAAAGGTGGCTGAAAATTTTATGAAATGGTGCAACTCACATGCAAAACAGAGCAGATATTTATTAGAAGAATTTGATGTGGTACAGTGAAAAATGTGAATAATTCTCATTAGATATCAGTTAATAAAGGGCATGAAATATAAATCAGCCGCAAGCTTGATGTGCATGAAGTTGACTTTTGTTGGCGATAGTAGCCTTATCACTGTACGTTCATTAATATGGATCTCATTTATTGTCCTGTCTCCTTTTATAGTCAACTCATTTGAAATCGTAATAGTTCCTATTAGTTAGGCTTCATTTAAAATTATCACGATTGTTTAGACATCCATCCTTAGAAATGTATTTATAATTGCAATTCTTGGGGCCCAGAGATTTTGTTTCAGTCAAGAACAAATTTTTATTTTAAGAAAATGTGTCATATACACAGACATACAAAACAAGGGTTACTGACACTTGGACAACTCAGAAGATAGAATTCTACATTTTAAAAGTGTTAGGGGAAATATTTTCATGTGAAAAACCATGAAGGCATGTGGCCTAAAATCCACTGCGGATAATAATGCACATGTATAAATTTTATGATAAAAATACAAACATTAATATTTTATATATATTGTTTCATTGTTATATAATATTATTATTAAAGAAACTAAATTTTTAAGAAAGAATATGAAGACAAAGCCTAATTTTATTAAAGCCCTGCTATTGTAATGATGACAAGACTCAACATTCACAGAATAATAACCAAACATTTACTAAATGTTTTACATTTTTTCATATCTTACCAATACATAAATTCAACAGATATTTGTGTATATTTAGGTTGTTTTGACAAAATAATTATCCTTCTATAACCATATCTAAATTGTGAATATGTTAACCAAAATAGTACTTTTTAAAAAATAGGGTGTAGCTGGCAAATTCAATATATTCTGGTTTCCATTATTTTAAAATTAAATGCTTAATATGCTTGATGTGAGTTCCACTTTGGGGTACTTCCGTTATTTGACTATGGCAACCCATGTGTCTCGTAAACTAGCATGTTACAGGAAACAAGCCCAGGATACATAAGCCTAGGAATTACAATGAATCACCTTCACAGTGGTATCCCCAATCATGAGAGTCTGCTTCCCCAGCTGTTTAACCATCAAGAAGTTTAGATCAAACCAGTTATCTGATGAGTGTCCCCCAGTCCAGACTTTTTCAGTTTTTTCCTGGTATCATTGTACTACTTCCTCTAGCTCCAGTATTTTTTTGTGAATAGGTAGTGAATTCAAGTTAAACACATTTGGCAAGAATATATTCTAAGGGATGCTGTATACTGCACATCACATCACATTAGGAGGCCCTTTGTGATTAGCAAGCCATCTACAGGTTGACTGGTATTACCTGAAATCATTTGCCTAATGGATTAGCATCCATTGATAATGATTGCTTGAATCAAATAGTTTATTAGAGGGTTAACAATGATTTTTAAAGCTACATAATTCCTTCTGCATTTCAGGTGGCATTCTTCTGTAAAGTTTCCTCATCAATAGATCTATTTGCTGACCCTGAACTACAGTCCTACGAAAAGGGAGGATAAATACTTAATTCTTTCCTTTTAATTACCAACTTCGAAAGACGTTGATTTAATAGTACTTTCCAATGGTGGCAAGTGAAGGCTTATTCTTTTTTTTTTTTTTTTTTTTTTTTTTTTTGAGACGGAGTCTCTCTCTGTCCCCCAGGCTGGAGTGCAGTGGCGCGATCTCGGGTCACTGCAAGCTCCGCCTCCCGGGTTCACGCCATTCTCTTGCCTCAGCCTCCCGAGTAGCTGGTACTACAGGCGCCCACCACCATGCCCGGCTTATTATTATTATTATTATTTTCTTTTTTTAGTAGAGATGGGGTTTCCCCGTGTTAGCCAGGATGGTCTCAATCTCCTGACCTCGTGATCCACCGGCCTCAGCCTCCCAATGTGCTGGGATTACAGGCGTGAGCCACCGCGCCCGGCCTGGTTTATTCTTTTGCTTTTTTGTTGTTGCTGTTAGTATCAATATGCACTTGTGAATTTTTATATATTCAATGACTTTCACTTCATTGCATTATTTGTTATGATCAAAATTTCAAATTCGGTCAGCTGTGGTCCTTTCAAATTGGTCCCCATGTCCTTTGAATATGCTTTTGTTGATTACTTTCTCACTTTCTGGTACAGAATATCCTAAACTTGGAAACAACTCTTTCTCCAAGAATTTTTTAGTATCAAAGGTATTTAGAAACCGAAATGTGGGCACTAAGAGCTTCAATGTTCCTGAAGTATCAGTGATTCTAGGTTTTCATCAGTGGGCAAAGCTAAAAACTACATATTTTTCACATCATGGGTGCATATCAATATTTCCTATTAAAATTGATCATTTCAAGTTTATTTCATTTCTTTGATTTTTATACTTATGTCCCTTCTCTTACACTTCGAATTTTGTTTCCTAACATTATATCACTCTTGCTCTACACTACAACAGCAATAAACACAGTTTCAAAATAATTATGTCAATACTAATAGTAAAACTGACTGAAGTTTAATATTTTTACTGTTTTGCTTCTTTATTTTTGTTCTTACATACCAATAAATGTATGCAGAGTTCTAAAATTGTTTGAAATTATGATTTTCTCTCTGTATGGTTATGGTTCCAATTTGGCATAGAACTGGGTTCATTTGTTTCTGTTTGCATTCACTTCAAAGCCGTGCCTTAGCTACAGCGACATACTGTTCCACTGGGGGACATAGCATGGTTTGCCCAACTGCAACCCTGTCAATGTCCATCTGCATTGTTTCCAATTTTGTGTTATTACAAACAATTTGCCTTTAATTCAATTTTCACAACACATCTTTGGTATTATTGCCTCCATTTTAGTATTATGAAACTGAGGCTCCGAGAAACTGAGAAATTTGTCCAAGTTTGCAAAGCTGTCTGAGGCGAAAATCTTGCTGTTAATGTCTAAGTACAGTGCCCCTTCAGCATTCCCCATCACCACACTCAGTGACCATTTTCTGCTATCCCTTGCTTCCACACATCTCTGTGAATAAGAACAAACCAATGGAAGGACAAAGGCAAGTCACCCCATGCATCTTTGGATCCAGCTGAATATTGAAGAGGGCCTGGGCAGGAGAAGGATTATCCAGTGCTAGAGCTAGCTGAACCTCTGCTCCTTCCTAGCCCCAACCTGGTACAAAAAATAATTCATTCTACACCTACTCATGTGCTTAAACAAAATGCCACATATAACGGCCAAAGAAGTGGGGTTTAATGTGCAAATCCTTTGTAAGAAAGGATAATTATCATATTTGCTTTGGTGTCAGTGTGCAGGGTGATATTAAATAATACAGTTTTATTAAAATTTTCATATATTCAACAGTGTGAGATCCACCCATAAAACACCTACTTTGGGTCTCAGTAAAATACATGAAAAGACAATAGATTATCAAGAGTTTGCCTTTGAAGCTCTAATGAATTGTCTTGATCTTGGACTATTTTTGCTCCACAACTTTGAAGTGACCACTCAAATGTCATTGTTTAAAATGTAGCAAGAAAAGCCCGCCCTGCTATATAGGAGTGGCTTGCTTCTCTGGAGAGGGAAACTTTGGATGGCTCCATGAAAGCATTCTGGGGGTTTGGGGAATAAGGGTAGGAAACTGATTGCTCCTCTGCATATAGAAAGAGAATGAAACTCTTTTCTGTTTGAATTTACATTTAATTTTCATCAACCTGACTTTGTCCTGGAAGATGTGGATATTACAAAGTTTTCACCTCTGGGACTCATGATGACAATCCATCCCTTTTCCCCATATTTAAAGGCAGAATTGGCAGCATTCTCTTTATTTCATGAACTGCTTTTAAATGACATGCAGGAGAAGAAAGACACCACAGTTAAATATATAAAAATAAATTTTCTTGGCTTACTGGGGTAGCAAACAAATATCTATGAGTAATGCCCCTATATCACCAGCTAGCAAGGCACTTAATAAAATCCAAACAACTGTCACACACGGGTTATAAGGTCATTCCTCACATATAAGATAAACTAGAAATCTATCCAAAGGATAGAATCAGGGAGAATGTTATGAAGTTTGCTGTAAAATAACAAATGAGTTTCACATGTTATTTCATTTCCCAAGGGCACTTTGATAAGCATACACACATATTGTCAATGCATGCTGGGACCTCAGTGCATGTGGCGGACACAGAAACAAGCAAGTTCAAAACCATAAATGTCATTTAGTAACAAATTAAATATTTGTCACAAGTGACAGCACAACAAATAAGTAAAACAACGCAGTATACTTTTTGGCTCCCAACAATGTGGAGAATGATGGAAATGCAAAATATGAAGACACTGTCCTTCACGAAGGTAATGATAAGGTTTCTATTTATAACACTTTTATAACATTTCCATTTAAAAGAGTCACAGAGGCTTGAACTTATCAGTATGGTGAATGAATGAATGAATGAATGAATGAACAAAATTAAATGCTGTAGGAAAGTGAGTGTGTATGGGTTGTGGAGAAGAAATGAGAATTCATAGACATGGTTTAAGAAGCAACTAACCAGGCCAGGTGCAGTGGCTCACACCTGTAATCCCAGCACTTTGGGAGGCTGAGGTGGGTGGATCACCTGAGGTCAGGAATTTGAGACCAGCCTGACCAATATGGTGAAACCCCGTCTCTACTAAAAATACAAAAATTAGCCGGGCATGGTGGTGGGTGCCTGCAGTCCCAGCTACTTGGGAGGCTGAGACAGGAGAATTTCTTGAACCCGGGAGGTGGTGGTTGAAGTGAGCCAAGATAGCGCCACTATACTCCAGCCTGGGCAACAGAGCTCAAAAAAAACCTGGGCAAGCCTGTCTCAAAAAAAAAAAGAAGCAACAACCGTATTTCCAAATGAAGTCTAAAGCTAAAGAAACCACTCATTTTTAATACCTCTCAAAACTGTCAGTATGTGCACAGACGCACAGCAGAAAAATCCTAGCCTAGTGGTATTTAAGGTTCAGTGTGCATTAAGATTCACCTGAAGCGTCTGCTAAAAATGTAGATTCTGATTCAGGCTCAGGAATTCCTATTTAAATGTCTTATGTGATCCTGAGAAAAAGTGGTACAAAGAGAATTTTGAGAAACACTGTTCCCTGCCAAGTGGCAGGCCTGCGGAGAATGGTTTGGTTCCCCCCTCCTTTTCTCTATGAGCTTTCTTAGATAGTAGTTTTTGTTGTTGTTGCTTTGTTTTTACTGTCAGTAACACACCTCACCGTCTTAACACCATAGCTGAGCTCATCCTTCTTATAGGGAAATATTATTTTTTACCTCAAAATTCAAATTTGAAGTATATTTCAAATTAGAGTCTTTGCCAAAAACACCGATATTTAAATAGAGAAAAGTAGTGGATCTGGGGTTTTTATTCTGTGATAATTACATGGAACTTGTGGGGTAGGAAGAGCAGAGAGTAAGGACTAGAAAGATGAATTAAGACTTTACTTCAAATAAAGACACTGCAAAGATGCTGGAAAATATCAATACATAAAAATATTTCTCTGGGTATTAAAACTAAAAATGCATATTAAGTTTGCTAGATAAAATATAGGATGGCCAATTAATTTTGAATTTCAGATAACAAATACATTTTTAGTATACATATCAAATTTAACTGGGCATCCTGGATTTTTATTGGTGAAATCTGATAACTCTAATGCTTATTACACAAAGCAAGTGTTAAAAATTACTTTACTGTGTGGCAGAGAATGAAAAGCATGGATTATGTAGCTTTGAGCGGATCATTGACATATTGAGGCCTGACTTCCGCTTGAAGAAAACCTTGCAAGATATTTCCCGTGCCCTGGGAACCACCATTTATATCAAACCTCTGAGAAATTTCCCCAAAGACTATTTTACTCAATCAATATGTCAATTTGCTCCCAGCAAGAACCTCTTAATACCCCACAGACCTTTTAAGTGAAAGATTGTAGAGGGCAGTTCAGTGCACATAACTACATTCGTTTTCTAAATGTACATAATTATCTAATAACAATGCTGTATATATTATTTCTCTTCTTTCCCATAGGAAACTCATTTGTGCCTTCTGGCTTTAAACATTAAGTTCTGAATTTTGGGGGTTTTTTTGTTTTTTATATCTCTAGTTTTCTCAAGGCATTCTATTAGTTTAGTTCTTTACAAGGGATTTTTGTGGGGTTTTTATGTTGTTGTTTTTTCCCTAGTACTATTCACGTTTTTGGCCAAATAGTTATTTGTTGTCAGGGCTGTTCTGTGTATTGTAGGATGTTTAGCAGCCTCTCTGACCTCTATTATCTAGATATCAGAAGCACTCTCTAAGTTGTAACAACCAAAATATCTCCAGACATTGCCAAATATCCTCTAGAGGACAAACCACTCCTAGTTGAGAATCACTACATACAAGAATAGTTCGTAATTTGGTGCAACTTGACTTTTTTTCTTTTTAAAAAAATGGAAAAACATAATTAATCTAAGGTCTCTCTTTTTTTTTTTTTTTTTTTTTAAAGTAGAGACATGGTCTTAGTCTGTCACCTCGGCTGGAGTGCTGTGGCACAATCATAGTTCACTGCAGCCTCAAACTCCTGGGTTCAAGTGACTCTCCTGTCTCAGCCTCACAAGTAGCTAGGACTACAGGTGTCCAGCTAATTTTAAAATTTATTTTTATTTTTTGTAGAGACAAGGTCATGCTACGTTGCCCAGGCTGGTCTTGAACTCCTGGCCTCAAGCAATCAAAGTGCTCCCAAAAGGTGTGAGCCACCATACCCAGCCTACACATATTCTTAACAGAAAATTTTGTAAAAATTTTTATAGATTTAAAATTTTTAAAAATATGCAGTCAAGTATACCCAAAAATGCGTTAGGAAAACAATCAATAAATGATATCAAAATAGACCAATAAGCAATTCTTAAAAATAGGTCACCAAATAAACTCTATATCTACTAAATAAAATTTCCTAAACTGAAATACATAAAAACTGTTGAGAACAATCTTGGGTATTTATCAATATTGCATATTAATAACCTAGTAAACTGAGGTAATAGAAATAAATCATAAAGGAAAAGACTGAAAGATTCAGCTCCATAGACATTAAATATCTATGTAATATAAATTAAAATAATAATGAAAATGAAAATACTGCAAAAATATATCTTACTAATATAAAGGATATATATGGTGGAATAAAAAGGTATATAGCTATAATTTAGTATATAGTAGATGCCCTCCCAGCTGAGGCTATTGGGATAGCAGTTAGTGAGTTAATCAAAAACTTAAAATTCAAATTACTCCTAAGTACCTTAAATACTTTAACTTAAACCATGTAAATGCAAAGTTATTAGCAATCTTTGATATAGAATCAACCCTTTTATTTTGAATATTAGTTCATTGATAGATGTTCCATACACACTTTCTTTCAGAAACCACACCCATAATGCATCTGCAATGATTTCCTGCACATTATTTTTTATTGAGAGTTTTTTAAAATCTGAGAGCAAAGTTATTTTCAATGCTTATGTCTTTCAATCTGTTGCAATTATCTACCCATCTTCAGTTCAACAGCATGATTCTCTTGTTAATTAATCTTTATTCCATCTTTCTGATGCATTCAACTTAGTTTCTATAGAAATGCCTCTCTTTCCACACTCGTATTTCACTACTTTAAATAATATAAAATTGAACAATAACTTCACATTACAAACCAGTTTCAAGCAACATGAACAAGTGAGGGAAAAATACAGCTGACTCCTGGTAAGAATACAACAAACATACTTTAAATAGAACTGAGGCAGGAAAATAGGATCTGGAGGCAGGGAACCTAAGGTAGATTCGCACTGACTTCTAGAACTAGATCAAAAGGAAAACCCCAACTTTTCAGGCCCAAGTAACAAAAGAACAGAGGCTACTCCCTTTGCAACCCCCTCCTCCCCCGCCACACACACACACACACACAAACACACAACTTTCTGTACTGTAGATGAGAAATGGAAAGTACATCTGATTGGTCCACTCCCACAACCAAGCAGACATTTGCATGGGGTGTAACGTTGTAACTTTACTTTAGCCTCTGATTGGTTGACCAATCAGACTGGTTGCAGGCCACTACTTCATTTACATAGGGTGTAAACCAAATAACCAGTGGGAAACCTCTAGAGAGTATTTAAACTCTAGAAAATTCTGTAACTAGTGCTCTTGAGCCTCTATGCCTCAACCCCGTCCCACTCTGTGGGGTGCACTTTCATTTCAATAAATCTATGCTTTCATTGCTTCATTCTTTTGTTGCTTTGTTTGTGCACTTTGTCCAGTTATTTGTTCAAAATTTCAAGAAACTGGACGACTTGTAGTCAAGACCCTCCAATGGTAACAGACTGCACACTTGATTTTTTTTCTTTATGAATTACGCTTTTGATGTCAGATCTGTGAAATTTTTGTCTAACCTAAAGTCACAGTGATTTCCTCTTACAATATCTTCTGGATGTTTCACAGTTTTTATCTTTACACTTAGGTCTATTATCCGCTTTGAGTTAATTTTTGTATATTGTACAAAGAATTAATGGAATTAAAAATTTCTGCTATTCAAGATCGCTAAGAGCATGAAAAGACAAGCTACAGACAGAATTTAATGTTCAGCTTCTTTCAGCAATTTGTGTGTGATTTTCATCCATGTTGTTGCATAAAGCTGTAGTTCACTCATTTTTATTGGTAAATAATGGCCTATTGTGTGACAAGACCACAATTCATTTCTCCATTCTATTGATAGGCTTTTGGTTGTTTACAGTTTTGGGTGCTAAGAACGTTATTTTACATGTCTTTTTGTACATAAGAGAACACTTTTTTTGCTGTTGGATATGTTAACCAGGATTGAAATTGCTGGGCCATACATAGCGATGCGTTTGTAAACCAGCTCACTGAATAAGAAAGCCTTGATTAGCATTTGCTAACATCTGTGATGTTAATACTCCTACCATGGCCAATTTCCAGCTACCAATAATGTAATGACCCACTCACAGAAGCCCTTTTAACAATCGCTCTCATGAGCTGCTCGGAACTGGCTCCAACAATGCTGACTCAACCCACCATACAACCCACACTTTACCTGTTCTTGACTTTAGCAGACGATGTCAAACTGTTTGTCCAAATGATTGGATGAATTAATACTCCACCAAAAATGTATGTGTTCCCCTCGTTCCATAGACTCACCAACCCTCAGTATTGTCAGTCTCTTCCATTTTGGCCTTTCTGTTGGGTCTGAATTGGTATCACTTTGTGGCTTAATTTGCTTTTCTGTGGTGACTAATGAGGTTGAACAACTTTTCAGATGTATCACAATGGCATTTGGATATCCCCTTTTATGTTATGCCTACTCTTGCACATTTTTCTATTGGGCTTCTGTCTTCATGGATTCACATATTCTGGACATGAGCCCCTTGTCAGTTTTGTGTGTGTCAAATACCTTCTCCCACTCTTCTTTTATATTTTGACTGTCTTGTGTTTTCTAATAAACAAAAATTCAAATTTTAACTTTGAATTTTAAAATTTTTCTCTTTATGATTAGTACATTTTATGATTAGTACATAAGCAATGCCATGTTTAAAAAGTATTTCTGGCCAGGCACAGTGGCTCATGCCTATAATCCCAGCACTTTGGGAGGCCAAGACAGGAGGATCACATGAGCCCAGAAGTTTGAGACCAGCCTGGGCAACATAGTGAGACCTTGTCTCTACAGAAAAAAAATTAAAAACTAGCCAAACATGGTGGCATACACTTGTGGTCCCAGCTGCCTGGGGAGACAGAGGTGAAACTATTGCTTGATCCCGGGAAGCAGAATCTGCAGTGAGCCAAGATCACATCACTGCACTCCAGCCCGGGTGAAGGTCATAATGATATGCACGCAAATTATTTTCTAGAAGTTTTATTCTTTGTCCTTTACATTTGATTTTATAATTTATGTGAAAATAATTATTGTATGTAGTATAAAAACGGACCTTTGTATTTTTCCTAGATGAGTAACCAATTGTCACAATACCATCTGTTGATGAGCCCTTCATTCTCTCAGTTCTGTAGCTCTACCTTAATCATAAATCAAGTGCCCATGTCTGTTTCTGGGTTTTCAGTTCTATTCTACATACTTGTTATTCTTAATTAAATACTACATTGTCATAATCGCTGTAGCTTTGTAATATATCTGATATCAGCTAGATCAAGTTCTCCCATATTATGTTTCTTCATTACCATTGCCTAGTGCCAGGGCTCAGAACATGATACCCCCAACGTATGGTGCCTTGGCATGCTGAGTACTTCAAAGTGAGGGAAATCAAAAGGGTCACAGTAGCAAGATCTTTCTGACCTTCTCCTACCCTTCTTTCTCCTGTGCTCCCATTTTCCCTAAGGCAGGCCATAGAAACTACGACTCTTCTTCCCCAAAGCCAACCATAAACAGAACCATAAACAGACGTTGCTGGGTGCCCTTGCCCCCCACCTATTGCCATTAAACCATACCCTTTTGTCCAATCACATTTCTACCCAGCTACGCATTCTTCATCAAACCTAAGCATAAAAATGGACAGTTTTCCCTGAATCTTTGGGTCTTCATTTCTGAAGGCTCCTGTGCTGTATAGAACTTTTATTAAATAAATGTGGATGTTTTCTCCTCTTAATCTCTCTTTGTCAGTTTTATTCAGACCTAGCCAGACACTCTAGGATGGTTTCACTCCCTACTTTAGTCTTGCCTTTTACATTTTCATTTCATTTTAGAATCAGCTTGTCAAGTTCCACACAGGAAAAAACAAAACAAAACAAAAAAAACAAAAAACAACAACAACAAAAAAAAAACATTGGATTTTGATTGGGATTTTACTGATTCTGTAGATCAATTTGAAAATAACTGACACCTCTAATATATTGAGTATTCTGAATAATAAATGCTCCACTTTTTAGATTCTTTATTTCTCTTAATAATGTTTTATAGCATCATACATGGAGGTCTTACAATATTTTATTAGATTTATGCATAGATATTCAACATTTTTATTTTATTATAAATGTTACCTTTCAAATTCTTTTTCCTGCATATTTCTGTAATTCATATATAGTCTATATTTTTCTAGTATATAGAGATTAAGCACTTATAAAATAATTTAAATTAATTTAATTATAATAATTTATCCATATTTTCTTTTAGATTTTTAGTTATATAATTATCGTCAAATGATGATAGTTTTATTTCCTCTTTCCAATCTTTATGTCTTTTTTTTAACCTTATTGCACTGGCTAGAACATTTAGAACAATATTCAACAGAAGTGATGACAGTGGAAACTCTTGTCTTGTTCTTGATCCCAAAGGGAAATTTTCAAATATTCTTCATTAATTATATTTTTGTAGATTTTTGAAGATATCCTTATTAGCATAAGAACATTTTCTTCCATTCCTAGTTTGTTAAGGGTTTTTATTGTTAGTATGTATTAAATGTTACCAAATTATTTTGCTCTTTTCTTCTAATGTGGTAAATTACACTGATTTTTTTAAATGCTAAACTAAACTTACATTCCTATAATAAACCCAATTGGTCATTATATACTTTTATTACTTTTTATACTTTTTTATTACCTTTATTACTTTTTTATTACTTTATATACTTTTCATTATATTATATTTACACTATATACTTTTGAAACCTAGTTTCAGTCTGACTATATATTGCTTAGAAATTTAACATCAATGTTTATTTAAAAAATTGGCCTGTAATTTTTTTTCTTTTAATGTGATTTTTAGGCTTTGATATCAAAGCATATGCTAGTTTCATGAAATTATTGGGATTGTTTTTTCTATTCTCTGCAAGAGTTTGTGTAAAATTGGTGTTATTTCTTCTTTAATATTTATTAGAATTAGCCATTAAAACTATCTTGGCTGGAGTTCTCTTTCTGGTATATAATCACAGAATCAATATTTTTAAGTATTATAAATCTCTTCTAATTCTCTATTTCTTCTTGTACCAATTTTGGTAAGCTAAATTTTTTTAGGAATTTGTTTATTTCATGTAAATTTTCAAATTTATTGTCATAAAGTTTTTCATAATATCCTACTAGAATATTGTTAATTTCTATAGTATCTGTAGTAGTGTCCTTTCTATTTTTTATTCCTATTACTGATTATTTGTTCTGCCATTATTCTTTACCTGAGTAGTACAGTGGGGGTTATAAATTTTATTAGTTTCTTTAAAAAGCTGTCATTGAGCTTAATTGATCCTTGCTGTTGTATGTATTGTCTATTCAAATTAATTTCTATATTTATCTTTTTTCTTTTTCTACTTTCTTCTGACATAATTTGATGTTTTTTCCCTAATTTATTATTATGCATTCTTAGCTCATCAATGTTTAGTCTATTTTCTTTTCTAACATACACATTTAGGGCCATACTTTTTTTGCCTCTAAGTTTAAATATGCAGCATTTTCTTTTTAATTTAGTTCAAAATATTTTCACATTTCCATTGATTTGTGTTTTAACTCATGCATTGCTTATAATTGTACTTCTTAATTTACAAAAAAATGACAGTTTTAAATTTTTGTTTTATTATTTGCTTATTGTTTAATATCACTCTGGCCAGAGAATGTACTCTATAAGTGTTTAAATATATTGAAATGTAATTTATAGCTCAGATTATAGTGATATATTATAAATATCCTTTGTACTTACTTCAAAAAGAATATGAAATCTCCAGATTTTGTGAACAGTGTTCCACATATGTCAACTTTGCTAATTATCTTATTCAGTTATGTACTTTCCTTGCTAATTTTCCATCTGATTGTTCTATTATTTAATGAGAGGAACTACTCATACAGCAGTCCGTCCCCTTATCTACAATTTCTCATTCTGGGGTTTCAGTTACCCATGGTCAAACATGGTCTGAAAATATTAAGTAGAAAATTCCATAACTAAGCAATGCATAAGTTTTAAACTGTGTGTGCTGTTCTGAATAGCATGTTGAAATCTCACACTCACCTCCCCACCTTCCCAACTTCCTCTTATACAGGACATAAATCATCCCTTTGTCCAGCCAATCTGCTCTCTATACACTCCCCGTCACTCAGTAACCAACTCGGTTACCAGATCTACTGTTGCAGTATTGCAGTGCTTGTGTTCAAGTAACCTTTATTTTAATTAATAATGGCCCCAAAGCACAAGCAAAGTGGTGCTGGCATATTGTTATAATAGTTCTATTTTATTAGTAGTTATTGTTGTTTATCTCTTACTGTGCCTAATTTATAAATTAAACTTTATCATAGGTATGTATGTAGGTATAGGAAAAAACATAATCTATATAAAATTAGGTACTATCTGTGGTTTCAGGCATCCACTGGGGGTCTTGGAATGTATTCCCCATGGATAAGGGGGGACTACTGTGTATACTATTTCCATTGTTTTTTGTTCCTTTCAACATTATAATCCTCTACCTACAATTTTTTGTCTTCCGCCTTAAGAACACTTTTTCTTATTTTCTTTAGTGTATATCTGCTGTCAAATAATTACTTTGTTTTTATTTATCTAAAAATGTATTTTGTCTTTTTTTGGAGTTGTTTATGGAATTTTTGTTGCTTTCATTGTTACTGTCTGCTTTGCATATAGAATTCTTTCAGCACTTTGTAAATATTTTATAATCACATGCTTTCCATCGGTTCTACTGAGACGACAACTATCAACCTAAATGTTGCTTTGCTGAAGGCAATCTGTTGCTTTGTTTTCCTTATCTGCTTTTAAGATTTTTGTATTTGTCAGTTGGGGGGAAGGTCTCATCTGTTATCTCTTTAAATATTGCTCTGTCTCATCACTTCTCTCTTTTCCCACTGAGACTCCAATCACATAAACATGATACCTTTTCACCCTCCTCTGTGTCTCCTAATCCTTTCTTCTGTATTTTCCATCCTTGTATTTCTCTTTGCTTTATTCTTTATATTCTTCTCATCTATATTCCTGTCCATTAAATCTCTCCTCAGTTACTTCTAGTCTGCTATTTCTCCATCTTTATGCTCTTAATTTTGATTATTACATTTTGTAGTATTAGAATTGGCATTTAATTCTTTTCCGTGGCTTCCAATTCTCTAAAAAAAAAATCATTCTGTATTTTGTCATCAATTACGGGCATATGTATTTTAAAATACACGTTTAATAAACTTAGTCTTCCAATATCTGAAGCCAATATTTATCTGTTTTTGTTGTTTGTTGTTTCTATTTAGTTCTTTCATGATTTATTGTCATCCTGCATGGCTGATTTTTCTCTATTGTATACCAGATATTGTATTTGCAAAATTATTTATAAAATTCACTTGAGTCCAAAAATTTGGTGATTGTTCTTTAGAGAGAATATATGTTGCTTCTGTTGATTAGGGGCTCTGGCAATCTGAGCCCACCTCTTTTTAGTTTAGAATTAGACAGGATTTGCAGAGAGTCCAGGCTTTCTCAGGTTTAATTCTGATCTGTTTTCTATTCTTGGAATGCAACCCTATGGGATATGGGTCAGGATTTTCACTAGGGCCCTTTTACCTTTTTTCCAGGCCTGAATTCAAATTCTTACTTTCTTTGAAGGCTATCCAGAGCAGCAGCCAAGCTCTCAGACTCTGATTTCCTTTTTCTAGAAACAGTAACTCAACTCATTTCAAGGAAGGCAGCCTCAAAAAGAGAACTCACTTCCCCAGGTCTTGGTCCTTCCTCCATTCTAGCCTGATTTAACTTTATTCTTTTCATGGCTCTCTGACATCATCACTGATAACATTGTATGTGTGCTTTGGAGTTTTTGAGCCCAGGGGAGGCTGGAGCCTGCTCCCCTCAATAGTTCATAAGCAGAAAGCATTATTGTAACACTACTGACAGTGGGAGCTGAAGATGAGTTCTTCCCCAATTTTCTTTGACCACATAAAGCCATGTTTTCTCTTTGTCTTCAGTGGAAGAATCTCCTAAATTATTTCATGCACCATTAACAGAAGTAGAAGCCAACCTCTTTATGGTTTATGCCTTTTTGGTTTCTTTTGTTACAACATTTAGGTTTCAGACTAAGGAAACAGTTACATATTTTACCCAATAATTATATTTCTTGAGAAAAAATGATATGCTCCATAATATTTATTTAGCATTTTTACATGGCAGGACAATATACTGAGGTATGGATGTGAGCCTTATTCTCTGAGAACTTAAAAGAATAACATTTTCTTTCTTTTCCTCTTTCACACAAAGGACATGCATGCCTGTATTTTATAAATTCTAATCTCTTCTCGGGGTGGAGCTCCACGGGGCTTAACAAGCTCTTTTTGGTCTTTTTATTTCAGAAGCTTCCCTAAAGTCATCCCCACCGAAGCCTTGGTTTGAGAGGTCTCGGTTTATACAAGAAATAAATTAAAATTGTCTGACAGAGGATGGAAATGGAAGCTGGAATCACCAGGCAATGGAGTTAATCCTAGGAGACTTCCAGGGCAGGTTTGGGTTTGAGGTTTTTTGGATAGGAAAACTAATTGAGTATAATGTGAAAACTATGCACATGGTTGAGTATAGTCCTCAAGAAGTGAAAAAAACCTGGGGGAAGCCGAAGGAAGGTAGTGATTACATGTCAGAGCTGCCACCAATGGGCAGGGCTTTCATGAATGGGCTTTACTGCTGCCATTCAGAGCTACCATAACTACAAAACAGTGAGGACCAGCCCTCCACATTGGATTGTAAAGAAAAACAAAAGGAACAAAAGTGGGATGGAATTAAGGAGCTGGTTCTCCATTTTCTTGAGTCATATAGGCCCCAGGTTTCTGGTAAAACCAGTGAAAGAGACAGAAGCTGTTTGAAAAAGGGCTGAGATTGGATTTCTCATTAACCTTCACAGGTGGGAGCCCTAGCCATATTTAATTTGATTTAGAAAAATAAAGAAACATGACCTTTCTTGCACTGGAGTGTCATGAAACCATTCATTTAGGTTAGACTCATAATAGTAAAATATAGAAAACAACCTAAATGTCAGACAGCAGGGCGAAGAGCAGTCATGATATATCAACTCTACAAAATTGTATGTGGCTATTAGAAACTGTAACTATTCAGAGTATTTAGCAGTGAAAGGAATGTTTGTGCAACATTTTCAATGTAAAGATAAAGCAAAATTTCATCTATTTAGAATAGCAATTTTTGAGAAATTGTGTAGAAATAAAGATGAAGTCTAGAATAAAATAGAAAAGAATGAAGATTTGATACTTTGGGTGACATATTTTGGGTACATGTATTTCTTCTATGCTTCATTTATTTTTACTATTATTAGTATAATATTTCTTAGCCCAAAGTTAAGTGATTTTTATTTTTTAATGATACATGATCAATTCATTTGCAAAGATTCAGTACAGCTCAATTCTATTATATCGTTGATCATTAATCATTCATTTACTCAACAAATGTTTATCAAGCACTTACAAAGGCACCAAACACAATGCTAGTTGATATTATTACAGTGGCAAATAAAACAGAGCAAATCCCACATCAACCACATGCTGAGAGAGAGGTAGACCTAAACAAAAGCACAAATATGTATTTAAATCAAATTTTTAACTCTCTTAATCAAATTACTCCTTGGTAAGAATGAGTGGTGCATAACACTCTTCAGGTAACTTTGGAATTAATATTTAAGCTGAGCTTTGAAGAACGGGGAGCCAGGTGAATAGGAAAGGGAAAAGACAGCCTTAATGGAGATGCACCAGGAAGCATCAGGCCCTAAACATTGGAGATTCAGAAGGGTGGGAGGGTGGGAGTGGGGTGAGGGATGAGAAATCACTTAATAGGTACAATGTACACTATTCAAAGTCCAGACCTCACCATTCCACAATATATCCATGTAACAAAATTGCACTCGTACCCCCTAAATATATAAATATATATATAAAAGAAAACTTTTTAAAGAAAGTATCAAGCCCCATTGTGAAACTAGCAGAAGGAGCAGAGCACAATAAGAAAATGAGAGCTGCTTACTGGATAACATTTCAGTGGTATGCATCATGTTTTTGCCAATGAAATATTAGTTGAAGTGCAACCTCCATGACCCTGCACTCTCAGACAATTCTACTTCCTTTCATCTATGAATTGGTCATTGAAAGAGAGTTTAATAACAGAACTATGTGTAGGGACTCATAAACACAGTAGACAGGGAGTCACAAGGGACAGTGCAGTACTCCAGGACAAGTAGCAGTAGAGGCTGTAGGTAACTCCAAGCATGAAGGAGTCCAGGAAACAGTAGCTTCCAGAACCTGGAGTGAGTATCACCTGGAGAGGGCCACCTGAAAGGGGCTGTGTCCCTAGGGCCCTGGACACATCCAACTTGAAGCAACCCCAAAGGGAGGGAATAACTACTTTCACTTTCCACTCTTTCCTGCCTCTAATCTCCTGTTGTCCTCCATTGGGCAAACCCAACCAAAAGCCAGAAGACAAGAGACAACCAAGATATATGCCAGGCAGGCCAGCCTCCATGGCACAAAGCAGTGGGGAGAAGGATAAAGAGTGGATCTGGAAAGGCAAATGGAAGATGCCCAGCATGGATAGTAAGTTGACTCAACTTGACTTCTTGGCTTTGCTGTTTGATAAAGAACCTGAAGAAAATGGCCCAGCAGCCATGAAGCCAAGCTCCAGAAGAGTCACTGCACTGTCATTGTATCCTTTGCTGGCCACATCCAATCCAAGATCTAACTGGTTGCTACTGATTTCAGAGATGAAAGATCAGGAGAGAGGCGGTCGTTGTCACCTCTACTTTTTCTTTCCTTGGAACCCCTTACATTGGTTTCCTTTCTGTGAACTAACTCTATTCAATTGGCCTGCATGACAGGTTGGGGAGAATTAGGATAAACTGATGCCCTCAACTTATCCTTCCAACAGAGGGCTCACTGGAGCACTCCAAAGTTCTCTTTACTCCTAAACTTGGGGACATAAATATCTTTACCTTTTGCTATCTTCTTAACAGTCCTCCTCTCAACTATTATGGATGCATTTTCCCTTCATCTTTACTTACATAGATTCCAAAATGTTTTTACTAGTTCATACCAGGGTACAAAAAAAGCCCATTCGGCCGGGCGCGGTGGCTCACGCCTGTAATCCCAGCACTTTGGGAGGCCGAGACGGGCGGATCACGAGGTCAGGAGATCGAGACCATCCTGGCTAACACGGTGAAACCCCGTCTCTACTAAAAACACAAAAATTAGCCGGGCATGGTGGCGCGCGCCTGTAGTCCCAGCTACACGGGAGGCTGAGGCAGGAGAATGGCGTGAACCCGGGAGGCGGAGCTTGCAGTGAGTCGAGATCGCGCCACTGCACTCCAGCCTGGGCGACAGAGCGAGACTCTGTCTCAAAAAAAAAAAAAAAAAAAAGCCCATTCAGCTTTGAATGTCAAAAATTAAATGATTATATCAGTTTATATTAAAAATGTATCTAATTTTAATATACTCAAATGAGTTGGCAATAAACATGATCCCTACACCCCTTGTGGAAAAAAACAAGAACAATCCCACAGCAACTGCCATTGTTCCCCCAGGAAAAAAAAAAAAAAAACTTCTCCCCCATAACTACAGGAAGAATTTGACTCCTTGAATAGAGTTTTCAGAGTTAGTCAGACTGCTGGTTCCCTGAAGGGAATTTGCAAAATATTCACAGAGCCACATTCAAAAAAACAGGTCCCGTCTGATAATGAGCAATGATTTCTTAAATAGAACACAAAAAGCACTACCACAGAACGAAAATATCGATAAATTTTATCTCATTAAATAACTTCCATTATTGACAGATTCTATTAAAAGACTGGAAAGACAGGCCATATAGACTAAGAAAACAATATTGGCAATCCACATAGCTGACAAAGGACTTGCATCTAGAATATACAAAGAACTTCACACATTAATACAAAGGAGATTAAACAATAAATTTTTTTCAAAACATGTGCTATAAAGATAATTTCCAAAAAACCTAAAATGACCAACAAATATATGAAAAGGGGTTAAACAACAATACTTGTCAGGAAATGTTCCCTAAATAGAACTCAGGAATATACCACCAATTCCTCATCATAATGGCTACATTTTAAAAAGAATAACAGTACCAAATGTTAGTGAGGATGTGGAACGACTTGAACTCTTTTAACAGTACTGGTGGGAATGTATACTGGAGCAATCACTTTGGAAAATTGGCAATATTCATGAAAGCTAACATATGCCTGCCGTATGATCCAACAGTCCCAGACCAAAGTATATATTCAAGAGAAATGACTGCGTATATCCATCAAAAGGCACATTCAATAATATTCATAGCAGCTTTATTTATAGTAACCTCAAACTGAAAACAACTCAAATGTCCAACAAGAGAATGGATAAATGAGCTCTGGCATTTTAATATACTGGAATGCTACTCAGGAATAAAAGGAAATAAGCTGTTACATGCAACAACGTGGATGGATGGCACAGACATTATACCAAGTGAAAGAAAACACAAAAGCTCATATAGTATAGGATTCGTTTATATGAAGTCAAAGAAAAGGCAAAACTAGTCAATGACAACAGAAGTCAATATAGTGGTTATCTCTGGGGCTGGGAGTATTAACTGGAAAAAAACACAGGGAAACTTCTGGGATGCAGGAAATGTTCTCTATCTACATGGACTGATCATGATGGTTGTATACATATGCAAAAATACATAGAGCTATATACTTAAGATCAGAGCACTTTTTGTCTATTAATATGTGTATGTTATACTTCAATTTTAAAGAGTGAAACACAGGATCGGGTCCCACTCCCTGAATTTCCTCAATCGGGACAGCCTCATGTGGATACAGCAAAATTAAAATGAATGCACTTTGTAGTTCCCTGGGGTGAAACTCTAACATGACAGACCACCACAAATTCCAAGGGTAATTGAATTGACTCAATGCTCTCTCATAATGAAATTCTGCAAGTTTGGATTTAGCTGAGAGCACAGAGAGACTCCAAAGGAGCTGTTAAGAAGGATGGTTGAACAAGCTGTTATATTTCTTTTTGAACATATTTTTTAATGAAATAGGTGTTTTAATACCTATCTTTAAATGAAATAGGTATTTAAATGCACCAGTTAGGTAGGTCAATGGAGATCCATTATTGTCTAATAAACTAAATCAAGGACTCTACAATAGGAAAGGATAAGAAAAAAATTTTTGAAGGTGCTTTGTGCTCATTTGCAGCCAAATTCAATAGCTTTCATGCAGAAACCCAGGGGAGTTTTTATTGAATTCAATCCTTGAATTGTTTCTAGCTAACGGGCTTACTTCTATTTACAGCATTATTTTCTATTAAAGGACAAGCCTGGAAAGTCAAAGAATTTAGAGCTACTGTTTTACTTGAATAATCAACACTTCCTAGGCTGCCTTTATTGTTCTGTTTTAAAAGGATGGAAATCAAACAGACTGCTTTTTATCAGCTAAGCTGAAATCTTCCAGGAGCAGAGATTTACATAAATATATATAGATGGTAACTATAAAAATGTAATCAGCCATGAGAGGAAGCCAGTTATGGTCATATGATGAAAACTACTAGAATCAGGGGTTTCTTCATGCTGAAAGATGGTAAAAATGAAACTCGGTTATAAACTCAGCATCCTCCAAGAGAGTGGATCTCACTTGAAGACATTTTGACTTAATAATGCAATCAAAATATTGGACTTAACTTACCTTCTAAATACTGAAACAAGTTTAATTTAAATAAGCAAAGCTCAAAGTAAACCACCTCTAGTCATGCACCAATCTAGAAAAAAAAATTAAAGAAAAATTCAAACAAGATTTCATTTTTGCCAAAATCTGTCACCTTCCCACTGAAACCTAAAAGCTGTCAAAAATCACATCCCTGAACATTTCCTTCGAGGGACTTATCTAGGTCTTTATATCAACACCTTCTTTTTATTTTTAAGGGAATTATGCCATTATAAAGTGCAATCAAACTCTGGGTTTAAGTGACATTTCAGAAGGAATATGCAAAATGCCAAAGTGGACATGTATCAGGACTTCAAATTCTGTCTTTAGAACATAGAATAGTTTTTACTTAACTGTCAAAGCTGGAACTAAAATATAGATCTGATAATTCTCAGACTATGGCTTTCTCTACAACCACAATGACCCTTCCCCCAAATGTCTCCACCATCGACCCTGAAATTTCTACCACGTTGAAATGCAAAGAGTATCTGTGATAAGGAATTTATTGAGGCATTGCCCATGTTATACCCTGATCAACTTCAGGAAAGCAAATGGTTCTTGAGGCATTAAAATCTATTGTTTTCCAAGAGTGGGTGTCTGACCCTGGACAGAATTGAGAGTAGCTGCCATTAGGAAGGTGAACAAGTAGCTCCATTGCCTGAGGAAGGAGGTGCAATCAGATATTTTTGTATTTTGAGGATCCAAAAAGAGATACCACCAGACCCTCATGGAAGAGAGTAGAAGAAGGAAAAGTAGCTGAGTTCTGGTGGATCCTGGCCTGTGCTCTGAAGCCAGAGTATGACTATGGTTCTGAAGGTTCTGTATACATGAACAGAGACCTTGTGTAAATAGTCATTGAGTCTGTGACAGTAGCTATAATGGAAGGCCCAGCTCGATACTACACTGTACACTGATTATGTTTTTATTAAATACTATTGCAAGACTATCATTATTATTATTTTTACTACTGCTGCTTGTTCTAGACTATCTTTCATCAGCACAGAATCACTACCATTTCTTCTCAGGAGAGCAAGCAAGAACTACGTTTTCCAAAATGCCTTTCATATATGGTTTCAGGTTAGCATCTGCTAATGAGAGACACTTACGTGGGACTTCAAAGGTGGAAAGAAGTCACTGTGCTCCAGAGATAGATGCAAGCAGATGTGAGCTTCTTTAAGCAGCTTCTAGAAAACCCTTTAAGAACTGCCCTTTTCTTTTCTTTTTTTTTTTTTTTATTATACTTTAAGTTCTAGGGTACATGTGCACAACGTGCAGGTTGGTTACACAGGTATATATGTTGGTGTGCTGCACCCATTAACTCGTCATTTACATTAGGTATATCTCCTAATGCTATCTCTCCCCACTCCTGCCACCCCACAGCAGACTCTGGTGTATGATGTTCCCCACCCTGTGCCCAAGTGTTCTCATTGTTCAATTCCCACCTATCAGTGAGAACATGCCATGTTTGGTTTTCTGTCCTTGTGATAGTTTGCTCAGAATGATGGTTTCCAGCTTCATCCATATCCCTATAAAAGACATGAACTCATCATTTTTTATGGCTGCATAGTATTCTATGGTGTATATGTGCCACATTTTCTTAATCCAGTCTATCATTGATGGACATTTGGGTTGGTTCCAAGTCTTTGCTATTGTGAATAGTGCCACTATAAATATATGTGTGCATGTGTCTTTATAGCAGCATGATTTATAATCCTTTGGGTATATACCCAGTAATGGGATGGCTGGGTCAAATGGTATTTCTAGTTCTAGATCCTTGAGGAATCGCCACACTGTCTTCCACAATGGTTGAACTAGTTTACAGTCCCACCAACAGTGTAAAAGTGTTCCTATATCTCCACATCCTTTCCAGCACCTGTTGTTTCCTGACTTTTTAATGATCGCCATTCTAACTGGTGTGAGATGGTATCTCATTGTAGTTTTGATTTCCATTTCTCTGATAGCCAGTGATGATGAGCATTTTTTCAATGTGTCTGTTGGCTGCATAAATGTCTTCTTTTGAGAAGTGTCTGTTCATATCCTTCGCCCACTTTTTGGTGGAGTTGTTTGATTTTTTCTTGTGAATTTGTTTGAGTTCTTTATAGATTCTGGATATTAGTTCTTTGTCAGATGGGGAGATTGCAAAAATTTTCTCCCATTCTGTAGGTTGCCTGTTCACTCTGATGGTAGTTTCTTTTGCTGTGCAGAAGCTCTTTAGTTTAATTAGATCCCATTTGTCAATTTTGGCTTTTATTGCCATTGTTTTTGGTATTTTACACATGAAGTCCTTGCCCATGCCTATGTACTGAATGGTATTGCCTAGGTTTTCCTCTAGGGTTTTTATGGTTTTAGGTCTAACATTTAAGTCTTTAACCCATCTTGAATTAATTTTTGTATAAGGTGTAAGGAAGGGATCCAGTTTCAGCTTTCTATGTATGGCCAGCCAGTTTTCCCAGCACCATTTATTAAATAGGGAATCCTTTCCCCATTGCTTGTTTTTATCAGGTTTGTCAAAGATCAGATGGTTGTAGATGTGTGGTATTATTTCTGAGGGCTCTGTTCTGTTCCATTGGTCTATATCTCTGTTTTGGTACCAGTACCATGCTGTTTTGGTTACTGTAGCCTTGTAGTATAGTTTGAAGTCAGGTAGCTTGATGCCTCCAGCTTTGTTCTTTTGCCTTAGGACTGTCTTGGCAATGCAGGCTCTTTTTTGGTTCCATATGAACTTTAAAGTAGTTTTTTCCAATTCTGTGAAGAAAGGCATTGGTAGCTTGATGGGGATGCCATTGAATCTATAAATTACTTTGGGCAGTATGGCCATTTTCACGATATTGATTCTTCCTACCCATGAGCATGGAATGTTCTTCCATTTGTTTTTGTCCTCTTTTATTTCGTTGAGCAGTGGTTTGTAGTTCTCCTTGAAGAGGTCCTTCACATCCCTTGTAAGTTGGATTCCTAGGTGTTTTCTTCTCTTTGAAGCAATTGTGAATGGGAGTTCACTCATGATTTGGTTCTCTGTTTGTCTATTATTGGTGTATAGGAATGCTTGTGAATTTTGCACATTGATTTTGTATCCTGAGACTTTGCTGAAGTTGCTTATCAGCTTAAGGGGATTTTGGGCTGAGACGATGGGGTTTTCTAAATATACAAGCATGTCATCTGCAAACAGGGACAATTTGACTTCCTCTTTTCCTAATTGAATACCCTTTATTTCATTCTCCTGCCTGATTGCCTTGGCCAGAACTTCCAACACTATGTTGAATAGGAGTGGTAAGAGAGGGCATCCTTGTGCCAGTTTTCAAAGGGAATGCTTCCAGTTTTTGCCCATTCAGTGTGATATTGGCTGTGGGTTTGTCAGAAATAGCTCTTATTATTTTGAGATACATCCCATCAATACCTAGTTTACTGAGAATTTTTAGCATGAAGGGCTGTTGAATTTTGTCGAAGGCATTTTCTGCATCTATTGAGATAATCATGTGGTTTTTGTCTTTGGTTCTGTTTATATGATGGATTATGTTTATTGATTTGCATATGTTGAACCAGCCTTGCATCCCAGGGATGAAGCCAACTTGATTGTGGTGGATAAGCTTTTTGATGTGCTGCTGGATTTGGTTTGCCAGTATTTTACTGAGTTTTTTTGCCCTTTTCAATGCTTCAGATTGTTAACCATGCTAGAGGCTTTCTTGACCTTTGTCGTTAGAGCCTTTCTAAACATTGCATAAGACTTTACTTTCCTTATGAAAATCTTTTGTATTTGAATACATATAGTGTCTTATGTTTTATTTGACATTTCAAGGTTATGAGATGAACTTCTGTAACATCATGAGATGTCGATTTTTCTTTATGAAACAATTATACCTTCAAATTTCATCATTTGCAGTAGTTATGTTCCCTGAAGTCTCCATGAACATGGAGTTAGCAAATACTGAACTACTGCTCCTAGGAGAAATACAGGATTAGGTTCCTGTGAGTCTCTGGTCACATGTACATCAAGCAATCAATATATAAGCTCGTTTTATGTGTGTTTCTGTTTTAAAATATATTACTCAGTATATATCATTGTTCAATTAACATTTAAATCATGGTAACCGCACTATAACTCATGCCTAGATGAAACTTATCTAACACATATTTTCTCCAGAAGGCATATCATGGGCTTAGAAATACTAAACAGCACTTCAGCCCTACAGAGGGGGCTGATAAACAGCAAAGTCACCAAAAAAAGTACAAAACTGCCAAAAAAAAAAAAGTGGTACTATAAAGATGACTTGTTTATAGTATGAGAGCTGAAACAAAAAGACAGAATGTCATCTTGTTCAGTCTCAGCTAGGAAGGCATGTTTCAGGTGGCTCACATTTTTTAGTGCTCTGTGCATGCTCAGAAATAATTGTGAAAGCACCACAACTATTGATTTGGGTGTTACAAATAAATTTTAGCAATTAAGTGAACTGGCAACTATGGAATCTGCAAATAATCAGAATCAACTGTTTTTGAGAAATTAAATGACTTCCTTATTGACACATTCAAGCAGTGACAGAATTAGGACCAGAATCGGTGCCTTCTGCTTCCAAATCCATGTGCATCCTAGGCAATTTTGGCATGTATTTTTTCTTCTATTTTTATTTGCATCCTGCTGAGCCAAAAAGCAGTGCTTACTATGTTTCTAGCTTTAAGAAATGAATTCATAACAAAATTACTCTGGAAACAAACAAATAAAAGAAGGTCACTCAAGGCCATTCACTGGGAAAGCATGTGGACAGCAATCAGCAATGCCACAGATCTGAGGCAGCTTTTTTCACTGTTCAATCAAGGAATGAACAAGGAAATTACAAATTAGTAGGAGTAAGTTCATGCCAATAATCCATTTATTGGCCCATAGTTTCATAGGTATCCAGTTTATTCTACTACTAAAAGACGTACATGCATAACCAGTTTCCCCAGCAAATGGAGAGAGAGTAGGCCAGAAATTCCCCAAGCCCACCAAGAGAAAAGGCTGGTGGACTGTGGTTCTCCTTCATACCACATGTAATTAATCTAATCTATACATTATTCACTACAGCGCCTAAAGCAGGACCACAATGTCACTCACATTTTCTTCTAGTTCTTATCATCCATTCCCCTAAAATCAAAATAAAACTTCAGTGTTTTTTATCAACTAGTAACATGGTAGTTAAGAACACATTTATTATTTTGTATCTCTATTCTGTGGAATTTTAGAGAGCTATTTTAATGCTTTGGGGTCAATTGCACATATAAAGTATTTAGAACCAATTGCATTCCAGCTCTCTGATACTTGAATACTAAAGGAGATCCTGTCTATCCAGCTAAAACCATTTAAAATCTGTGAAATGCAATGGGATGAATCTGTCTAGAACCAAAAGAAAACCTATATTTATAGCAGCTGATTTATTTTGTTGATATACAGTATGTACTGTGGTTTATAATTTTTAAGGCATGTGAACTGGGACATATTGGATATTACAGAAAGAGTGAGTTGATGATTTACAAGACTTCATATCAGGCCTATTGACCTTCTCAATAAGAAAGGTTGGTTGTCGTAACAGCACTGAAAAATGCAGCCCTCGGGAGTCAATTTAATGTAGAATAAACTCTTTAACAACCAGCAAGATGGCCGTATCAGCTGCTCCAACTGCAGATTATGCTGCTGCTGTAAAAAGCACATTTTTAAGAAAAAATGCTTAGGCCTTATTTTTGAAAACATATGTTTCTCCCTTCAAACAAACCAGCACTTTCTCCCACATAGGCACCCTTGCACTATAAGAATATCAGGTTTCACAACAACAACAAAAAGATGTGAGGAGGGAAAAGACCACACCCCACTATCAAAAGAATGCTTGCAGCTATTCGCTTAGTGTTCTTCTAAAAATTAATCATGCACCACAAAACAAAAATGTAACTGTGTGCCCTTTATTCTAATTAAATATGTTTTTCTCATCCTCAATGCAAATGATATTAGTCCGTGTACAAGCCAATAGAATCAATCAATAGACTTAGCAATTGGTGATACTTCATGTTAACACCCTCCCTCTGAAACTGATCTTTTGAGAACTAGATGCTTCACTTAATTACTGGAGTCATATGTCAAGGGAATTCCAAAACTAGTCAAGCTAAGCATAGTAAGTCAAGTAACTCAAACATAGTATGTCAAGGTAAAAAATAATAACAATAATAATAATTCTAAATGTGCTTTTCTATTAGCACAGATTTTCTGGCAAATTGTTTACCTCATACCACTGAAAATGAAAGAAAAACAGATACAACTTGCTTGATATTTGCCTGTGTTTTTTGGTTTTTTATTTTCTCTTAGTATTCCATAAGCAATTAGCTGAAATCACTCAGGGGAAAAAAAGCAGGATAAGACACTATTGAAAAAGTCAAGCTTTAAAAATAAAAAATATTTGTGTTTATGAAACCTGATCTTACTCAGCAGTCGAGACTGAATCTATAAAACAGTAAAACAATGGGAGGCCAAGTGAAAACCTTAAACAATAGATAGGGCAGTCTATTATCTGCCAGGCAATTAGTTTGATTGAGTCTTCCTACTGTGCCAATCGTTTTGATGATAAAAACAAAAAAAAATAGAATTTTGTCTCAAAGTTTTTCTTTTATTTGTAAACCCTCCCAAATATAACTGTCTCCTAAAACCTAAGCCATTGTATAATGTCATCTATTTGTGTCACTGTCTCCCTATGACTTTGTGAAGTCTTTGACAGCATGACCATTTCTTAGTAATCTTTGCATTCTCCAAATCTGGTATAGTATCTGGCACATAATAATCATTCAATAAATACATTTTGAATTGAATTAACTGTAAATGTGCATGTCCTTTAAATACTAATAGTCTTCAGTAGCCAAATGCTGATAGTCACCAAAGGGTTTCTGAAACCCAAGTGTCCTTTTAAAAGTATCCAGTAAGCAAAAATCGAACTAGTATTTAATCATTTGACGTATATTTATGGAGCAACTACTGTTTGAAATCATTCTAATTGGCCATGTGGAGGATTAAAAAAACATTAAAATGTAGCTTTTGCTTTCAAAATTTATCCCTGCCTTTACTCAGAGCAGGGATATAAAGTTTAAAATCTAGTAAGGTAAAGAACACAAAGACCTGAAAGTCACACAGGAATGCATGAATCATGCCTGGTGCAGAGTACAGGTAAGCATCACCAAGGCGCACAGACAAAGAAGGCATTTCCTTAAGCTGAAGACTGGGTGACTAGAAAAAAACAGGTAGCAAGTAGGATTTGATGTAAGTCATAAGGGGGAAATTTGCTATACTTACTAAAGAAAGAAAGAGATGAGTCGTTTGAAGGAATTTTATATCATCTCACCAACTTCCCTTTCCCCTTTGCGCCCATTTTTAATCAGGCCTGAAATGGAATGGCAGAAGGAGAGTATAACACTATGGTAAGGATGTAGGTGAAAAATGTATGCTGTGCTGGTTGTGTGGATTCTCCTTCAACCACCGCACTGGTATAAAATGTCCATCATGGCACTGCCTTCATGGCAAGCTCTGCAGGGTTGGAGAAACTCTCTCTCTGTGCTTGCTGGAGCTGGGCTTCCTTCAGCATTGTCCTGTAGCTCCCTGAGGGGTCTTCTAAGGTCTACTTTTCTAACATGAATTCTGGTTACAGAAAAGCTTCCAGAAAGGCAAATAACATAAAATGTGACGTTTTGAAAGATAAAGTACATGCATTCTAAAAATGTTTCATTATAGTTTGGACAAAAGCAGGCTGGCAAATACATTCATAATACATCCTACAATACAGTTTTACAGAACATTTTTTGAATTGGGCACAGAAAATATTTTCTTCCCAATTCAACTACCTTAAATCAATCTGTCTCTCTTCCCCTCTCTCTCTGTCTGCCCCCCTCTTCCTCCCCCCTTACCTCCCTGTCCCCCCCACACCCCACACACACACACACACACACACACACTCACAGTCATACAAACACATCCAGATTTCCTGGAATGAACATCCAAGGATTTCTACAAATTATTATGAATCCTTAAAGACTTAGTAATAAAAAAAAGACAGGAAAAGTGGGAAGGGCATTTGATTACTTTTTAGAATGGTAATCTCCAAAATATTTTAAGTTCTGCGCAAGTGCACTAACTGATATTTAAATTAATGTTTAAAAGCTCTTAACTCAGATTTCATCTAAGATGGCTCTTCTACCAAAAGAAGCCAGGTCAATTTTCATGATGCATGTTACTAGACATTCCTTCTGGGATAGTCTGACCTGATTTTACTTGATTACCTGATTCTGGGTTTGAAACGAAGTTATCTTAAAATAGCGCCTTGAAGTAGCCCTAATGACAGAGGGTGAACCCATTCCAAAAGGGGCCTGAGAGCATAAATGGCTTTGAAGTCTCCTGTTTCATGAAGTCTCCTGTTTCACTCATTTCTTGCTTATTTTAATATAAAATCAATTTTCACTAGAACTTGGGGGAAAAAATGTTCCTTAGGATGTGCTCTATTCTACCTTGCATACTGAGATACCGTAGTGTTTTGTGGTCATCCCAAGAGCAAGAACAACCTTCCTCCCAAAATTGGCTAGGATGTTGAGAATGATGACACCACATCTCACTAATAGGGTGTGAAATGTTGATTATTCACATAAAAAGGCTTTCTGGGGAGAGCAGGGCAGCTGGTGGTCCAAAATGATTTTAACAAAGGAAAAGGTGAGTGGTTTGGAGTTTTATTGTGGTTAGGGAATGGGGCCAGGTGAAGGTTTCCACCTGAAGTCCAGGTCTTAGGTGGTGTGAACTTCTGGCCAACCCAAGAGAAGGAGAATAGGGGCTTTCTGATCATCTGCCAGGTTTGGAGCAAGAGAGGAAGAAGGAATGTTGAGGCTTAAAGGATATCAACAGTCAAGTATCAAAAATGGAGTCAGATTCTTCATTAAAATTCACCCTGAAGTTTGATGGATGATGGAAATGTGTCACGTCTCATTTATTTGAATTGGAACTGGCTTAAAAAAAAGCCGTTGTGGTGTTCTCTGAAGCCTGTGGCAGGAGGTCAGGAAAAGTCCAGCACTGCGGATTTTTAGAAGTGAAGTGACACTGCCTTTGGGGATGAGTTTCCCACTACTGCTATAACCAGTTGCCACAAACTTAATGGCTTTTAAAAATTCCACAAATGTATTACCTTATAGTTCTGGAGGTCAGAAGTCCAAAATCAGTCTCACTGGGCTAAAATCAAGATGTTAGCAGGGATGGTTCCTTTTGGAGGCTGTAGGGAAAAGTCCGTTTCCTTGCCTCTTCCAGCTTCTACAGGCTGCCTGTGTTCCCTGGCCGTGCCCCCTCCCTCCACCTTCAAAGCCAGCACTGCAGCCCCAGCAAATCTCTCCCTGACTCTGACCTCCTCCTCCATCTCCACATTTCTTTCCCTAACTCTGACCTTCTCACTTCCCTCTTATAAGGACCCTTTTGATTATATTGGTTCCATGGGTAATTAAGGATAATCTTCCCATTGCAACATCTGAAAATTAATCACATCAACAAAGTCCCTTCTATCGGGTAACATATTCGCAGATTCTGGGAATTAGAAGTGTACATTTGTAGAAGGCCATAATTCAGCCTAGTGTACTTCATAACCATCAATCAAGTCTTGAAACTTAAAGGGGCTAAAAAGTGTTTTGTTGAGGCTTTGTATTTTGGCTTTAGTATATGCAGACACATGCGTAACTTTAATTTATATTTGGGGTATCTGTGAGACAAGAAACTTTTAGAGGTTTTTTTTTTTTTAACCTCAAAAGGGGAGGGCCTTGGATATGGAATTGTTGTTGGTGGTGCTTAGATTAGACAACCAGATTATTCTCAATTGTTCAAAAGTCTAAAATTATACAGGTAGGGCTGATTGTCAGCCAGGGTATCCTCTAGTGCAGTGGTCCCCAACCTTTTTGGCACCAGGGACCAGTTTCATGGAAGAAAATTTTTCCACAGATGGTGGGAGGGGATGGTTTTGGGGTGATTCAAGCACATTACATTTATTATGCACTTTATTTCTATTATTATTACATTGTAATATATAATGAAATAATTATACAACTCACCATAATATAGAATCAGTGGGATCCCTGAGCTTGTTTTCCTGCAACTAGATGGTCCCATCTGGGAGTGATAGGAGATAGTGACAGATCATCAGGCATTAGATTCTTATAAGGAGCATGCAACCTAGATCCCTCACACATGCAGTTCACAGTATGGTTCATGCTCCTATGAGAATCTAATGCCACTGCTGATCTGATAGGAGGTGGAGCTCAGCTTCACTCACTCACCCGCTGGTCACCTCCTGCTGTGTGGCCTGATTCCTAACAGTTACCAGTCTATGGCCTGGGGGTTGGGACCACTTCTGTAGTACTAAGGTAATTTCCTGAAGTCAGGGCACTGTGCTGACCTTTGGGTCTTGTCCTTGAACAGGGAGGTCCCAGTTAGGGGGTGGACAGCAACAGGTGGCCAACAGGCTCCACTGTAAGTGATAGCATTGCTACTACTATCACTGGAACTACCATCCAGTGGCACAACCATCCAAAAGTGCACAAACTCCCTTTCTGATTATCCTTTTGGTCCCAAGGGCTTCCCAGGTAACCAATGGGTCCAGGAGAGGAGTGACCTCCTTTTGTGACATTGTACCTATCAAGGAACTGAAGACGAGGGAAGCCATTTACTCCTGTAAGTTGAATATGCCAGGAGGCCCAGAATTTACTCTACTCTGTAAATCTCATTTTTATTTCAATGAGAAGGGCTTTGGGGCCATGACAGCCTCCATGACCCAAGACATAATGGGCAGCTAGCTGCAGAGAGTCACAGGAACCATGGGAGCCTCCATTTCCAGAAGCGCCTAGTATGTGGCCAAGAGCTGTCATTCCAGCAGTGTGTTATGTAGGTTGAAAGGGCAGTTTCTTGCACCCACGAACAACTTATGGCCTTCATCGTTGTCCAGAATCTCCAGGAGCCTTGAAAGAAGCTTACCAAAATATCTACAGGGAAGGAATCTCTAGGGGGCACTAGTGTATGTACTGCAATTTGGATAGATTTTAGAGCCTTTTGTTGTAAGGGATCCCAGTCAAAATGGGCTGATTTATAAGTAACAGTATAAAAGGGCGTAAGCAGAACTTGTAAATGAGAAATATACTGCCTCCAAAACCCGCAAAGACCTAAAAAACGTTGGGCCTGTTTTCATATTGAAAATGCTGGGAGGGACAAGAATTTCCTCTTTGTTTAATTTTAATTAATTCAATATTATTTTTAAAGATGGGATCTCACTATGTGCCCAGGCTGGAGTGTGGTGACTATTCACAGGTGTGCCATCATAAAGCACTGCAGCCTCCAATCCTGGCCTCAAGTGACCCTCCTGCTTCAGCTTCCCAAGTAGCTGAGACAACAGACACACAGCACCATACCCAGCAAGAGTTGCTTCTTTTTTTTTTTTTTTTTTTTTTTTTGAGACAGAGTCTTGCTCTGTCTCCCAGGCTGGAGTGCAGTGGCACAATCTCAGCTCACTGCAAGCTCCGCCTCCCGGGTTCACACCATTATCCTGCCTCAGCCTCCCGAGTAGCTGGGACTACAGGTGCCCGCCACCATGCCCGGCTAATTTTTTTGTATTTTTAGTAGAGACAGGGTTTCACCGTGTTAGCCAGGATAGTCTCGATCTCCTGACCTTGTGATCCGCCCGCCTCAGCCTCCCAAAGTGCTGGGATTACAGGCATGAGCCACCACACCTGGCCAAGATTTGCTTCTTAGCAGTGTTAGGGATAGAACATGGAGCATGTCAGGGGTGACCAATAATTAGTTGGAATTTTACTCAGCTGTCCAAATTCTGTACTTCGTGTGAATCAATGGCCCATCCCTTTTTATGAGAGCTCCTTTGTGAGTATTTTTAGGTCCGGTATGAGTGTGCTAAATGATTCTCCTTGGAGGAGAATGTCATCCGTATGATGTCATACCTGCATTCCTGGAGAAAGTTGGATATGGTTGAACTCTTGCACAACGATGATTGTGTACAGTGGAGGTCTGTTGATATGCCCTATGAGTAACCAGGTAAGGGCATATTGTGTCCCTTCAAAAGTGAAGACAATCTGTGGTGAAGAGGCTGTTCAAACAGGCACTAAATAAAACAATATCAGCCAAATCTACAATAGCAGAATATTTTTCAGTTGCTGATTGGATGGAGTCAGTAATTTTAGTAATATTAGTTTTTTTTTTTCTTTTTTTTTTTTTTTTTTTGAGACAGAGTCTGGCTTTGTCGCCCAGGCTGGAGTGCAGTGGCGCAATCTCGGCTCACTGCAAGCTCCGCCTGCCGGGTTCACGCCATTCTCCTGCCTCAGCCTCTCCGAGTAGCTGGGACTACAGGCGCCCGCCACCACGCCCGGCTAATTTTTTGTATTTTTAGTAGAGACGGGGTTTCACCATGGTCTCGATCTCCTGACCTCGTGATCCGCCCGCCTCGGCCTCCCAAAGTGCTGGGATTACAAGCCTGAGCCACCGCGCCTGGCCTGGAAGTCTTAATCATGATATCATAGCATTAAGGCTGTGGTTAACGCTATAAGTAACATTCATTTTACCCAATGTTACCTACTATTGGGTAGCATTCATTTTCATCAGATTTGAGCACTGGCCAAGTTGGACTATTAAAGAAGAAGAAAGTAGGAACGATGGCTTCTTCCTTTAGTAGGTCTGGTATGATGGGTCTTAATTCCTGTAGTTCTTGTTTGAACACATGGGTCATATTAACTATTTTAACTGAGACAGGAGACAACAAGGTTAGCTATGTAGGGTTCCATTTTGTTAATTGTTAGTGCCAAAGACTTATTTTTATTTCAGTTTGTTACTCAATGCATCAGATCATTCATGCCCAGATGCTCACTATGGGATATTTTAAGACAATAAACAAATGAAGCAAAATAATACTTCCAGTGGTTAAGGTGAGGCATACACGTTTGCCTTTGCTTTATGCCTGCTCTTTGAAGTCTGTACCGCCGCTGCAAGTATACGGGGTGCCTTGTTTAAAGCAATTTCCAGGTATAACTGTAATTTGATCCCTGATGTCAATTAAGGCCATGAAAGTTTGTCAATTGGCACATGTCAGCAGATGTTAAGGTTAATTTAAAACCATATTGTAGAGGTACAAAAACCAATTGGCATCCTTTTTATCTATTTTAGTTTTTGTTTCCTTCCCTTCTGTCAAAGTTTTTGTTCTGTTTTATTCGAATGGTTACTGGATATACTTTGCAAGAGAGGGAGGGTCCTTCCTACCCTACTCACATTTACAAATGTCTTCCTCCAGAGAGTCCCAAATTAGTGTCATCAGAGTTATGGGCTTTCCTCATGGCAATTATTGCTTTCCTGGGTTTAGGGACCCTAACCTTAAATTGGGTTTGAATTAACTCCTTGTCATGTTGACAAGTTGCAGCACTTGATTAAACCCAGTCTTTGTCAGTCCATTTTACAATTTCATAGTTGTTCAACAGGGCAATGGTGTCTTCAGGCCTCTCAAAGGCACAGAGTGAAGCATTTGGAGCTACTTTTCATAAGAGTCTGTGCCAAGGGTGCATTCCCTTAAAACCCTGAGGATTATGACATTTTTAAATGACAGAGACATAGGTAGCAACAGCGGAACCAGCATTTTGTAGAGTCCTCATAAACCACCGGTTTTTTGGAGAGTGGACCCCAGCACTCCACCTAGTGACGACTCTTCCTCACATCAGTGATCACCTGTTGAGCCCATAGATTAGAGAAGGTGTAGTCATTCTCCTGAGCAGTCTGTAAAACAAGGGCCAATGCCTGCTTGAGACATGCAACCAATGATCATAGGCAAAGAGTCATTCCCAAATCTAGTGTTGGCCACTGCTTATGCTGAAATCCAGGCATACAATTCAATCCAAGACTCATGCAGAGATCCGAGCCACAAGGCATGGCCCAGAGCCACCTTAAGGAAAGTGCTCACCTCATACTCCTGTCCCTAAATGACAATTATTAAAACTTCCAACTTAGGTCAGTGAAATCCATGACAGAGGCTTGGTTGGAGTTGGCAAATGTAGCATAATGTTACACAGCTCAAAGCTCATGCCAGCCAACAAGCAACAGCTAAAAGCGCAAACTCTCCAGTAGGCAGCAGAGCCAGTTAGCAAGCCAAAAGCAGGAGAAGACCCCCAGGTGGTAGCGGTCCAGATGGTGTGGCCTCGACCACCTACTCATAGCACCAGTAATTTTGTGGTTGCCCTTAGACAGCAGGATCAATCCTCCACCCAAAATTGGCTCAGATGTTGAGACTGGTGCTATAACACACACTCCAAGAGGGTATGAAAAAGGTTGATTATTCTCATAATGTGGTTTTCTGGGGAGAGCAAGGCAAGCACTCAAGCTGCTCTGAAATGGCTTGGCTGGAGGGAAGGATGAGTAGCTTTGATTTTTATTATTGTTGGAGAATGGGGCCAGCACGAAGGTTGCCTCCCACAAAGGCGGGCTTGCATAGTTTAACTTCCTACTGGTGCCAAGGGAAGGAGCTCATGAATTTTCTTACTGGCTCGTCCAAATGTGGGGCAAGAAGAGAAGAGAAAGAAATGGGCCTCAAAAGCAGTCAGTAGCTGAGAAACAAAACAGAAGTCAGACTCTATCAAACCTAGCTTAAGAACTACGATATTAAAACCTTTTTTTCGTTTATTCAGTAATAAAAATTTTTCCCCTCGTTTCCCTGGAAAAGTAATGTCTAAGGGATCTATCCTTTGATTCCTGAATCTCCAGAAATATTCCTAGTGCCAGGAGCAGAGATTCAATCTCTACATGTGCAAAAGATAAATGGTTAGAAAAATATCTGAAGGCTTCAGCAGAGTGCAACTCGGTGATTTTAAATACCCCAAATTGATTTACCCTATGCTTAGGCTAGAATCAGGAGTAATTAGGAATTGCTTTTGCACTTTTTCTCAATCAAGAGTGAATACATTTTTTTAATTTTAAAAGGAAAGTTAGAAACTTACTATTTTTTGTAATCTAGAATCTGGATGCAAAAGAATGCAAAAACTTTCAGAGAAATAATACATTTTGTTGTCATTAAAGCGATTACCCTTTTCAGGGGGGGAAAAAAATAACTTTCCAAATTAGATACCTCAATAAAGACAGAAAGTTGGTCTGTAAAGAACACAAGTCTTGTTTTTATGCCATCACCGACTCTGAGGGTTTCCGGCCTAATCGTTTTTGATTTTTTTCTTCCCAGCCAACTTAAAAGATTTCTTCACAATCAATGAGATCAACTATCTGGTCCATTCAGCGTAGTTATTATGAAGGCAAAAACAATGAATTGACTACATTTTCAATCCAGTTTTGTTATGGGAGATATTTCAATCAGAGAGACATGCTTATAAATTTTCTTTGAGAGGAAATCTGGGTGGGAAAAGAAACGACGGTGTTAGCCAATAAATGTTGCTTTTCAAACCTGCTAAGGCTCTCAGATGATTTATCACTGTTTGAAAGCTGTGGGCTATTTTATAAAGGAAAATGTATTTTCACTTGCAGTTGTGTAAAAATTTTTTCAAAGTCACATTTATAAAACTCATACCACCTGAAACTAGAAGACTAAAGTACTCTGGCCAATCAATAGCTAATGGCCTTCACCAACAAGGAAGCCCTGAAGGATCTTCTGCTTGTCTCATTTCAAAATGTTGAATTTCACATATCAGAGATCTCCAGATGTTGGCTTCACATGTGCCTTTCTGAAAGGAGTCCAGCTGAGGGTGGGTATTTGAATGGTGTCCATAGAAGTCTCCCCAGTATTCCTGGAGTATTCACCCCTATCTGATAAGGGAAAGATGAAAAAATAGCCCTAGGAAATCAGCGACTTTGGAAGGCACTATTTTAAGAGTTTCTATGTCATGGCCTGTGTGGTTTGCAGAGATAAAGTGGCTCTGATCACCCACAGCCCTGTTGAGTTAACAGGCCTGGTGAAGGGTGGAAGATACTGCAATGAGATACTCCATGGAAGGGCAAAAGAACGTAAACCAATTCATCACGCTTCATTTTTAAATCATTGGTGAGATTTTTAAGTGAGACAGTACAGCATTTAGCAAGCCTGGTTTCTAACAGTAGCTTCAGAGAAAACTTCAACCCCTTAAAATGAAGCAGTCCCTAATATTGATCATCCACTGACAGTTCACTAATATTCCATGGCTTACCCTTACTAGACTTACCCCAGGTAAAATCTATCAAAAATCTTCTTGACCTCCAGAATTTGTGTAAAGAGGCCACTCCTTCTGTTTGAAAAAGGAAAAGCCTCCAGCCAGAAAATTTAAAAGGACATGTGAAAAATGGCTGAAGTGAGATTTTTAAGCAGATAAGCTTCCTCACTATTTCCTCTGCAAGTCCAAGTTTAGAAATCCCCTTCTTATTCAGTAATAAATAATTATTGAGCACCTACGATGTGAATAATGTGAGGCCAGGCTCCATGGAGATACACAGATGAAGAAAACATAAAGGCAGAAGATGGTGAATCAAAGTGGGGAGAGGAAAGAGATGTGCTCTTTTGATTCTTTTATTCAGTTCATTAGAAATAATGACTCATGAACTCATGGCTATTTTAAAATATTTGTTTACTTAATTCTATGGATTAAGGCTTAACAGTGTTATTATTTATTTTGTTGCTAAAATTATTTCAGCTTTGGCCATTACAGGTTCCTTTAGGTTGGTTCCTGTGTTCTTTCAACAAGCACACCTCCATCCCACACTCCTCTTTTTGGGTGTGAGCATTTCCTTATTTTCTGGCACCACAAGACGTTCCAGCCTCATTTTATATTTTCCTTGCACCAGCCCTGGAATGAATCACTCTTTAAGGAGCCCGTTTTTCAAGTTTTATTTTCAATTGAGAGATAATAATATTCATGGAGTAAAATGTGATGTTTTGATACATGTATACATGTGATATATATACATACATACATTTTGATACATGTGTACAATGATCAAATCTGGGTAATTAGCACATTCATCACCTCAAGTATTTATTATTTCTTTGTGAGAACATTTACAATCCTCTCTTTTAGACATACATTTTCAAATAGACATTATTATGAAGTATATTCACCTTGCTGTGCAGTAGAGCATCAGATCTTACTCCTCCTAGCTGTAACTTTGTAGTCATTGACCCATGTGCTCTCCTTTCCCTTTCCATCTCCCGACCCCACTCTCCCAGTCTCTGGTACCTACCATTCTATTCTCTACTCCTACAAGTTTGACTTTTTCAGATTCCATATATAAGGAGAACATACAATATTTGATCTCTGTGCCTATCTTATTTCACTCAACATAATGTCCTCTAGGTTCATCCATGTTGTCACAAATGACAGAGCTTCCTATTTTCTTGAGGCTAAATAGTGTTCCATTGTGTACTAATGCCACATTTTTGAAATCCATTCATCCATTGATGAACACTTAGGTTATTTTTGTGTCTTCACTATTGTGAATAATATTGCAATAAACTTGGGAGTGCTGATATCTCATTGATTGGCATATTGATTTCAATTCCTTTGGGTATATACCCAGTAGTGGAATTGCTGGATCACACAATAATTCTATTTTTACTTTTTTGAGGAACCTCCATACTGTTTTCCACAATGGTTGTACCATTTTACATTCACACCAGTAGTACAGAAGGATTCTAATTTCTCCACATCCTCACCAACACTTATTTTTTCTGTTTTATTGATAGTAACCAACCTAATGAGTGTGAGGTGGTATCTCATTGTAGTTTTGATTTGCATTTCCTTAATGATTAGTGAGTATCTTGAGTATTTTTTGAGTTATTAAAAAAGTTGAGTATATTTTCATGGGCTTATTGGCCATTTTTTTTTCCTCCTTCAGAAAAATGTCTACTTAAAAGTGCTTTGCTCGTTTTTGAATCAGGTTGCTTTTGTCATTGTTGTTGAGTTTTAGGAGTTCTCTATATATTTTGGTGATTAATCCTTGTATTAGTCCGTTTTCATGCTGCTAATAAAGACATACCCAAGACTGGGCAATTTACAAAAGAAAGAGGTTTATTGGACTTACAGCTCCACACGGCTGAGGAGGCCTCACAATCGTGGCAGAAAACAAGGAGGAGGAGCAAGTCACATCTTAAATGGGTGGCAGCAGGCAAAAAGAGAGCTTGTGCAGGGCAACTCCCATTTCTAAAACCATCAGATCTCTTGAGACCCGTTCACTATCACAGGAACAGCACAGGAAAGATCCACCCCCATAATTCAATCATCTCCCCTTGAGTCTCTCCCATGACACATGGGAATTGTGAAAGTTACAATTCAAGATGATATATGGGTGGGGACACAGCCAAACCATATCAATCCCTTATCAGAAATATAATTTGAGGCTGGGTGTGGTGGCTTATGCCTGTAATCCCAGTACCTTGGGAGGCCAAGGCGGGTGGATCACCTGAGGTCAGAGTTCGAGACCAGCCTGACCAACATGGAGAAACCCCATCTCTACTAAAAATAGAAAAAATTAGCCAGGCATAGTGGCACATGCCTGTAATCACAGCTACTCAGGAGGCTGAGACAGGAGAATTGCTTGAACCCAGGAGGCAGGGGTTGCAGTGAGCCAAGATCACGCCATTGCACTCTAGCCTAGGCAACAAGAGTGAAACTCCGTCTAAAAAAAAACAAAAAGAAATATAATTTGAAAATATTTTCTCCCAACCTGTGGGTTGCCTTTCTAGTCTGTTGATAGTGACTTTCAATGCACAAACTCTTTTAATTTTCATGAAATTCAATTAGTCTATTTTGTTGTTGTTGTTGTTGCCTGTGCCTTTGGTGTCATATTCAAAAAAATATTGCTAAATTCAATGTCATGAAGCTTTTTTCTTATATTTTTTTCTAAGAGTTTTATAATTTTAGGTCTTATATTTAGGTGTTTAATCCATTTTTAATTGCTCTTTTTATATGGTGTTAGGGGCCAAGTTCATTCTTTTGCATGTGGATATCCAGTTTTCCCAGCACCATTTGTTGAAAAGACTATCCTTTTCCCAGTGAATGATGCAGGCACCCTTGTCAAAAATCATATGATCATATATACTAGCGTTTATTTCTGGACTTTCTATTCTATTTCATGGTCTATATGTTTGTCTTTGTGTCAGTACCACACTGTTTTGATCACTGTAGCTTTATAGTAAGTTTTGAAATCAGAAAGTGTGATTGCCTCAGCTTTGTTCTTCTTTTCTAAGATCAGTTTTGCTATTCTGGGTCCCTTGGGATTCCATATAAACTTTAAGATGGGTTTTTCTATTTCTCCAAAAAACAAAAAAAAGGTATTTTTTATTTTGATAGGAATTGCATTAAATCTGTAGATAGATTGCTTTGAATAGTATTGAAATCTTAACATAATTAAATCTTCCAATCTGTGAATGTGAAAGTGTTTTTCCATTTATTTATGTTTTCTTTAAATTTGTTCAGCAATGTTTTACCATTTTCATTATACAAGCCTTTCCCTCCTGGGTTAATTACTAAGTATCTTGTTTTTTTATGCTATTGTAAGTTGAGCTGTTTTCATAATTTTCATTTCAGATTGTTCACTGTTACTCTATAGAAATGCAACTGATTTTTATATATTGACTTTATATCCTGCTACTTTTACAAATTCATTTATTATCTCTAATATTTCCTTTTGTGAACTCTTTAGAGTTTTCTACATATAAGATCATATCACCTGCAAACAGAGATAATTGTACTTTTTCCTTCCCTAGTTGGATTTTTTAAATTTCTTTTTCTTGCCTATTTGCTCTAAATAGAACTTCCAGTACTATTCTAGAAGTCACAAAAGTGGGCATACTTGTTCCTGATTGTAGAAGAAAAGCTTTCAGTCTGTCACCATAGAAGATGATGTTTGCTATGAGTCTTTCATATATGGTTTTTATCATATTGAGGTAGTTTCCTTCTACTTCTAGTTTGTTGAGTGTTTTTATCTTAAACGGATCTTGAATTTTGTCAAATGAATTTTCTGCATCAATTAAGATATTCAAGGCTTTTTTCACCTCTAATCTGTTAATATGGTGTATATATTGATCAATGTTTGTCTATTGAACAAATCCTTGCATTCTACAAATTAATCCCATTTGGACATGGTATATAATCCTTTTAATATGTTGCTGAATTCACTTTGCTGCTATTTTGTTGAGGATTTTTACATCAATGCTCATAAGAGATATTGGTTTGTAGTTTTGTTTTGTAGAGTTTTTGGCTGGCTTTGGTATCAGGGTAATACTGGCCTCATAGAATGAGTTGGAAAGTCTCCTTCCTCTTCAATTTTTGGAAAAGTTTGAGAAGGATTGATATTCTTTAAACGTTTTGTAGAATTCACTAGTGAAGCTGTCAGCTCCAGGGCTTTTCTTTGTTGGCAACTATTTGATTACTGATTCAATCCCCTTAAATTTATAGTTCTACTTAGATTTTCTATTTCTTCAGAATTTCGTCTTCATACGCTTTGTATTTCTGACAATTTGTCCATTTCATCTAGGTTATCCAACTAGTTGGCATACATTTGTACATAGTGCCCTCTTATAATCCTTTTTATTTCTGTAGAATAGGTAGTAATGTGCCCACTTTCATCTCTGATTTTAGTAATTTGAGTCTTCCCTTTGTTTTCTTATTCCATCCAGCTAAAGGTTTGTCAATTTTGCTGACCTTTTCAAAGAACCAACTTTTAGCCTTATTAATCTCCCTGTTGTTTTTCCTATTTTTTAATCTCTGCTTTAATTTCCATTATTTCCTTCCTTCTGCTAGCTTTGGGTAGTTTGTTCTTTTTTTCTAGTTCCTTAAGTTGTAAAGGTAGGTTGTTGATTTGATGTCTGTCTTGTTTTTATAATGTAAGTATTTACAGCTATAAATTTTCCCATCAGCACTGCTTTCACTGCATCCTGTAAGTTTTGGTATATCGTGATTTCATTTTTATTCACCTTTAAGTATTTTCTAATTTATCTTCTAATTTCTTCTTCAATCCATTTATTATGTAAGAGTGTGTTGATTAATTTTCATAAATTTATGAATTTTCCACATTTACTTCTATTATTGATTTCTAACTTCATCCCATTATGGTCAGAGCAGATAATTTTTATGATATCCAAGACAATTTGTGGCTTAATGTGTGGTTTATCCTGGAAAATGTCCCATGTGCACTTGAGAAGAATGTGTATGCTGTTGCTGTTGGGTAGCGTGTCCTACATATGTCTGTTAAATCTAGTTGATTTATTATGTTGTTTAAATTATCTATTTCCTTAATGGTCTTCTGTCTCATTGTTCTAGCCATCATTGAGAGTGGGGTATTGAAATCTGCAACTATTATTGTAGAACTGTCTATTTCTCCCTTCAATTTTTTCAGTTTTTGCTTCATACTTTTGACTGATATATCATGAGGTACATAAATGCTTATAATTGTTGTACCTTCTTGATGTATAGAGCTTATTAAGACATAATGTCTTTCTTTGCCTCTTGTAAAAAAAGTTTTTGAGACAGTGTGTGGCTCTGTCACCCAGACTGTATTGTGGTGGTACAGTCTCAGCTCACTGCAACCTCTGCCTCCAGGATCAAGCCATCCTCTCATCTCAGCCCTCTGAGTAACTGGGACTACAGGCACATGTCACCATGCCTGGCAAATTTTTGTTTTATTTTGTTTAGTTTTGTTTTTTGGTAGAGACAGGGTTTCACCATGTTGCCTAGGCTGGTCTCAAATGCCTCAGCTCAAGCAATCTGTCTGCCTCAGCCTCTCGGAGTGCTGGAACTAATAGTTTTTGATTACTATTTGCATGGAATATATATTTTTTTTTTATCTTTCACTCTCAGTTATCTGTATCTTTTCATCTAAAGTGAGTCTCATATAGAAATCATATAGTTGTACCATGTATTTTTATACATTCTTCTCATTTCTGTCTTTTAATTGAAGAGTGCTATGGTTTGGAAATTTGTATCCCTCCAGATTCATGTTGAAACTTAGTCCTCAGTGCAATTATATTAAGAGGTAGATCCCTTAGGGTGTGATTAGGTCATGAGGGCTCCACCCTCATGGATGGAATTAGTACCTTTATAAAAGGGCTTGAGGAAGAGAGTTCATTCCTTTTGCCCCTTCTGCCAAATGAGGATGGAGCAAGAAGGTGCAACTCCTCACCAGGCACTGAATCTTCTGGTGCCTTGATCTTGGACTTCCCAGCCTCTAGAATACTGAAAAATAAATTTCTATTATTTATAAACTAAAAATGTCACCAGTATGTGATATTTTATTATAGCAGCAGGAATGGACTAAGAGAGAGAGTTTCATCCATTTACATTTAAAGTAATTATGGATAAGGAGAGACTTCTGTCATTTTGCTATTTGCTTTTTATATGGCTTATAGCTTTTTTTGTACCTCATTTCCTGCATTACTGTCTTCTTTTGTGTTTAGTTGTTTTTTTGTAGTAAAATGTTTACATTCCTGTCTCATTTCCTTCTATGTATATTTTATAGCTATTTTCTTTGTGGTTACCATGGGGATTACATTTAACTTCTTAAAGTTATAACACTCTAATTTGAATGTATACCAGCTTAATTTTAATAATGTATGAAAACACCACTCCTTTACAGCTCCAGTCCCACCTCTTTCAGTTGTTGATGTCACAAAATTACATCTTTATACCTTCTGTGTTCCAAAATAAAAATTAATTTTCTAAATGTATTAGTTTCTTAAATTATGTGGAAAACAAAATGATGTGGAGTTACAAATCAGAGTTACAATAATAACATCTTTTAGGATGATTTTTAAACAGATTAGTTTCTTAAATTACATATAAAGAGTGGAGTTAGAAACTATTATTACAATAATACTAGCTTTTATAATTGCACATGTATTTAGCTTTATTTACTGAGATCTTTATTTCTTCATACATCTTCAGCTTACTTTCTAGCGTCCTTTCATTTCACCCTGCATAACTCGCTTAATCATTTTTTGCAGGGCAGATCTAGTGGTAACAAAATCTCTCAGCTTTCATTTATCTGGGAGTTTCTTACCTTCTCCTTCACTTTGGAAAAACAGTTTTGCTGGATATAGGATTCTAGATTGACAGTTATATTCTTCTAGCACTTTTAGTATATCAGCATACTGCCTTCTGGCCTCCAAAGTTTCTGATGAGAAATCTGCTGTTAATATTGTGAATCTCTTTTATGTAACAAGTCAGTTCTCTCTTGCTGTTTGCAAGACTCCCTTTTGTCTTTGTCTTTCGACAGTTTGAATACAATGTGTCTCAGTGTAGGTCTCTTTAAGTTAATCATTCTTGGTATTTATTGAAATTCTTGGATGTTTATATTTGTGTTTTTCATCAAACTTGGGAAGTTTTCAGTCATTATTTCTTCAAATATTCTCTTTGCCCTATTCTCTCTCTTCTCCTTCTGTGAGGACAGGGTCTTTTTTGCCCACTCTGACTTCTGCAAACAGTGTGCAAGCTGCTTCAGGAACGTGTGGGGATGGGTAGCTGCCATTATGCTAAGGGCTGAAATTAACCACCATTTGCCTACTATTCAAGCCTTCCCCAGGAAGTTGCAAGCCTTCAATAGGTTTCAGAGTTCCAAAACAGTTACATCAGCCAGATTCTGTCAATGAAACTGCTGTCTAGGTGGGGAGACAGATTCCTGGTGCTTCCTACACCACTGTCTTCCCAGAATCCTATCACCATGGCTCCTTTTATTAAAGATTTGTGTTTAGAAACCAATATCTGGCAGCTAAACATTAGAGTTTCTTGGTTGTCTTGGTAGATAGAGCTAGAATGTGAATGTATATATTCTAGCCCACTGTATTAGCCTGTTCTCATACTGCTATAAAGATACCATCTGAGACTGGGTAATTCATAAACAAAAGAGGTTTAATTGACTCACAGTTCTGCATGGCTGGAGAGGCCTCAGGAAACTTACAATCATGGTGGAAGGTGAAGGGGGAGCAAGGCACACCTTATATGGCAGCAGGAAAAGAGAGAGAGTGACAGGGGAAACTGCCACTTTTAAAATCATCAGATCTTGTGAGAACTCCCTCATTATCATGAGAACAGCATGGGGGAACTGCTCACATAATTCAATCTCCTCCCGCCAGGTCCCTCTCTCAACACATGGGGATTATAATGGGAGATGAGATTTGGGTAGACACACAGAGCCAAACCATATTATTTTGTCCCTGGCCTCTCCTAAATATTATGTCCTTTTTACATTTCAAAACCAATCATACCTTCCCAACAGTCCACCAAAGTCTCAACTCATTCCAACATTAACTCAACAGTCCAACTCCAAAGTCTCATCGGAGAAAAAGAAAGTCCCTTCTGCCTACGAACCCATAAAATCAAAAACAAGTTAGTTACTTCCAAGATACAAAGGGGGTACAGGCATTGGATAAATGTTCCCATTTCAAATGGGAAAAAAATGGCCAAAACAAAGAGGCCACAGGCCCTATGCAAGCTCAAAACCCAGCCCAGCAGTCATTAAATCTTAAACTTCCAAAATCTCCTTTGATTTTATGTCTCACATCCAAGGCATGCTGATGCAAGTGTGGGCTCCCATGGCCTTGGGCAACTTCACCCCTGTGGCTCTGTAGGGTACACCTCATGCAGCTGGCACTGAGTGTCTGTGGCTTTTCTAGGTGCAGAGGGCAAGCTGTCAGTGGATCTACTATTCTGGGTTCTGGAGGACAGTGGCCTTTTCTCACAGCTTTACTAGGCAGAGCCCCAGTGGGGACTCTGCGAGGGGGCCCCAACTCTACATTTCCCCTCCACATTGTGCTAATAGAGGTTCTCCGTGACAGCTCCACCCCTGCAGCAGACTTCTTCTTGGACATCCAGGCATTTCCATACATCCTCTGAAATCTAGGCTGAGGCTCCTAAAGCTCAACTCTTGTCTTCTCTATACCCCAGGTCCAACACCACATGGAAGCTGCCAAGGTTTGTGGCTTGCACTCTCTGAAGCAACAGGTTGAGCTGTATATTGGTCCTTTTTTAGCCACAGCTGGAGCTGGAGTGGCTGGGATGCAGGGCACCAAGTCCTGAGGCTTCACAGAGCAGCAGGGCCCTGAGCCCTGGGCCCAGCGCACAAAGCCATTTTTCCCTCCTAGGCCTCTGGGCCTGTGATGAGAGGTCTCTGATATGCCCTGGAGACATTTTCTCCATTGTCTTGACTATTAACATTCAGCTCCTCATTACTTATGTAAATTTCTCCCCCCAAAATTTTTTTTTCTATCACATGCTCAGGTTGCACATTTTCTGAAACTTTATGCTCTGCTTCCCTTTCAAACATAAGTTCCAATTTCAAACCCTCTCTTTGTGAACATATTTAACTGAACACTTTCAAAATAAGCCAGGTCACATCTTGAATGCTTTGCTGCTTAGAAATTTCTTCTGCCAGATACCCTAAATTATCTCTCTCAAGTTCAAAGTTCCACAGATCTCTAGGGTAGGGGCAAAGTGCCACCAGTTGCTAAAGCATAGCATGAATGATCTTTACTCCAGTTCCCAATAAGTTCCTTATCTCCATCTAAGACCTTCTCAATCTGGACTTCATTGTCCATATCACTATCAGCATTTTGGTCAAAACCATTCAACAAGTCTCCAGGAAGTTCCAAACTTGCCCACATCTTTCTATCTTCTTCTGAGTCCTCCCCACTGTTCCAAACTCTGCCTGTTACCCAGTTCCAAAGTTGCTTCCATATTTTCAGGTAGTATCTTTAGAGCAATACCCCACTCTGCAGGTACCAATTCTCTGTATTAGTCCATTCTCACACTGCTATAAAGATACTACCTGGGACTGGGTAATTCATAAACGAAAGAGGTTTAATTGACTCATAGTTCTGCATTGCTGAAGAGGCCTCAGGAAACTTACAATCATGGTGGAAGGTAAAGGGGAAGCAAGGCACATCTTACATGGTGGCAGGAGAGAGCATGCAAGGGAAACTGCCACTTTTGAAACCATCAGATCACGTGAGAACTCCCTCACTATCATGAGAACAACACGGGGGAACCACTCCCATGGTTCAATCTCCTCCCACCAGGTCCCTCCTTCAACACATGGGGATTATAATTGGAGATGAGATTTGGGTAGGGACACAGAGCCAAACCATATCACCCACCCATCCACATATACTTATATTTATATTTCCATCTGCATGTGTGTATAGTAAATTTCATTAGTTTGTACTGATAACTAATTTTAATCAAACACCACAGGATTTATTTTAGCCTTCCCCTTTTCTTATTGATAACTTCTTATTTTCTAACAGAGTAAAACAAAATTTTCATCATTTATAATCTATTTACTTATTTAGTCAATTCTAATATAGGTATAAAGAAGTTTCAGGATTGCTGGTTCATAATTTTTGAAAAGGAACCTACCTACTTTTGCTAACAAGATTACAGCATCCACATATAGTTTTTTCTTTTTTTTTTTTTTTTTTTTTTTTGCTTTAGTATGAGGTCCAATCAACATTATGTCTTCCACAGTTACTAGAGTTTAGTTTTTTTTTCTTTTACACCCACCTCATTGTGGTTATGTTGTTCATTTTCAATAGCCTTGTTAGTATTTGTATTCCAGTTTGGGTTCCCCTCACAACCTGGTTGGTTTTCATTGTTGTTTATTTTTAGGTATATGAAATATTCCTATGACTATAAGTCAAAGCTACTCAAAAATACATAATCACAGAGGTTTCATTCCCTCGTCAACCCAACTGCTCTTCCCCTGCCTTACACCTCTTTCTACCCCACCCCTGTAGAGAACCAGTCTTTTCCATTCTAGTTTCTCTTTCCTGATTTCTCTTTGGCACATATCAGCAAATGATAAAATAAAGATTCTTGTTAAAACAAAATTTCCTGACAAAATCAAAGCTCCTCATGGAGCTTACATTCTGTAATTCCCTCTACATGCAAGACACTATACAAAGAACTTAAAGGACAAGAGATACATAGAAAATATAAATAGGCCATACATTAGAGGTTTACATTCTTGATAATAGATAACATGTACTTGTGTTCTTGATGGGAGATAATGTGCACATTCATGAAAAATACAACATGATTTATACTAAGTTCCAAATGACAAGCACTAATTTCTTCCTTCTTTCTCTTTTTTTTTCCAACTTATATTTTAAGTTCAGGGATACGTGTGCAGGATGTACAGGTTTATTATAGTTTAACATGTGCCATGGTGGTTTGCTGCACAGATCATCCCATCACCTAGGTATTAAGCCCATCACTCATGGGCTATCCTTCTTGATGCTGTTCCTTTTCCATACCCCAACCCTCTGACATGCCCCAGTGTGTGTTGTTCCCCCAAAGTGTAAATGTGTTCTCATGATTCAGCTCCCACTTATAAGTCAGAACATGCAGTATTTGGTTTTCTGTTCCTGTGTTAGTTTGCTGAGGATAATGGCTTCCAGCTCCATCCATGTCCCTGCAAAGGACATGAGCTCATTCTTTTTTTATGGCTGCATGGTATTCCATGATGTATATATATGTACCACATTTTCTTTATCCGGTCTATCATTGATGGGCATTTAGGTTGGTTCCAACCTACTACTGTGAATAGTGCTGTATGTGTGCATGTGTCTTTATAATAGAATGATTTATATTCCTTTTGGTATATACCTTGTAATGAGATTTCTGAGTCAAATTGTATTTCTGCCTCTAGGTCTTCAAGGACCACACTGTCTTCCACAATAGTTGAGCTAATTTACACTCCCACCAACAGTGTAAAAGCATTCCTTTTTCTCCACAACCTTGCCAGCATGCTCATGGATAAGAAGAATCAACATCATGAAAATGGCCATACTCCCCAAAGCAATTTACAGATTCAATGCTATTCTCATTAAACTACCCCGACATTCTTCACAGAATTAGAAAAAGCTATTTTAAAATTCATACAGAACCAAAAAAGAGTCCAAATAGCCAAGACAATATGAAACAAACAAACAAAAAAAGCTGGAGGCATCATGCTACCTGACTTCAAATTATACTACAAGGCTACAGTAACCAAATCAGCATGGTACTGGTACAAGAATAGACACATAGACCAATGGAACAGAATAAAGAACCCAGAAACAAGACCACACACCTACAATTATCTGATCTTCAATAAACCTGACAGAAACAAGTAATGAGGAAAAGATTCCCTATTTAATAAATGGTGCTGGGAGAACTGGCTAGCCATATGCAGAAAAATGAAAGCTGATCCCTTCCTTACACTGTATACAAAAATCAACTCAAGATGGAGTAAAGACTTAAATGTAAAACCCAAAACTATAAAAACCCTAGAAGAAAATCTAGGCAATACCATTCAGGACATAGGCATGGGCAAAGATTTCATGATGAAGATGCCAAAAGCAATAGCAAAAATTGACAAATGGGATCTAACTAAACTAAAGAATTTCTGCATAGCAAAAGAAACTATCATCAGAGTGAACAGAAAATCTACACAATGGGAGACAAATTTTGAAATATATCCATCTGACAAAAGTCATCTAGCATCTACAAAGAACTTAAATTTACAAGAAAAAAAGAAACAACCCCATTAAAAAATAGGCAAAGGACATGAACAGACACTTCTCAAAAGAAGACATACATATATGACCAACAAACATATCAGAAAAAGCTCAACATCACTGATCATTGGAGAAATGCAAATCAAAGCCACAATGAGATACTGCCTCACCCCAGTCTCCTTTCTCTTAAACACTTGTGGAGCACCTACTATGTGGCAGACACTGTTCCACTGTCTAGGGATACAGCAGTGAAGAGGAAAAAACTCTGCTTTTAAGGAGCTTACAGTTTTGTGGCAAGAGAAAGACCATCAATCAATCAAAAAATAAAAAGTCAAAACACATTAGCTATCAGATAAAGATAACTGCTTTGAAGGAAAATAAGCAGGACAGAGGGATAGAGGTGTTTGGATAAAAATACAGTTGTGAAGTCTCAGAAAGTTCTTTTGGAAAAGCAAACACCTGAAAAATGTAAAGACTGAGCCATCTGGGTGAAAGCACCAGGTGGAGGGAGCAGTCTGGAAGAATTTGGAAGAAAAGAAAATCACTTACAGATTTGTTTCCAGGGAAACTTCACACAGAAGGTGGGGTTTAGCTAGGCTTAGAAATATGGCAGGACTCTGGGACATGGAGAGAACAGGAAGGGAATTCTAGATGAGCAGTAATAGAGCACAGGCAGGGAGGGCCAAATAAGTCAACCCATCCATCTGTGAAAGAGTTTGGATAAGGCTAGTAAAGCAGTTGGAGAAGGTTATGAGCGTTTTGAATGCTGGACTAGAGTAGTCCTTTCCCCAAAGGCATTGGGGAAATCATTAAAGGAGCCTAAAAGCAGAATACACAGAAGTGTATATAGTTTGAGCCCATACCCTTTTATTGGCAGAAGAAAATCACACATATGTACACACAGATATGTAAGACCACAGGAATACACCCAATGGTAACACCCGTTATTTCTGGATGATGAAACGGTGAGTGATTTTTATTTTTCTTTATGCTTTTTATTGTTGTTGTTGTTGTTGTTGTTGTTGTTTTTGAGGCAGAGTCTCGCTCTGTTGCCAGGCTGGAATACAGTGGCACGACCTTGGCTCACTGCAACCTCTGCCTCCCAGATTCAAGCAATTCTGCAGCCTCAGCCTTCCGAGTAGCTGGGACTACAGGCACATACCACCACTCCCAGCTAATATTTGTATTTTTAGTAGAGACGGGGTTTCATCATGTTGGCCAGGATGGTCTCAGTCTCCTGACCGCATGATCCACCTGCCTCAGCCTCCCAAAGTGCTGGGATTACATGCGCGAGCCACCGGACCCGGCCTCTTTATGCTTTCCTGTATTTTCCAAATCGTCTGTAAATTATCATTGTTACTTTTATAAGCAGAAAAAAGTGAAAGAATAAGCATTGTTATCATCGGAAAGGAAAAATTTAACATGGGAATGGCCCAAGGGAGTGTTTGGAAAAAATTAAGTGAACAGTGGATACCAATGGACAAGAAAAAGAAGGAGAAGCTTACTCAGCAGCCTTTGAGCCACAGAATACAAACTCTTTTCTCTTGTAAGGTCAGCCCCAGTTCTGTATTTGAGAGTAAGCAATAGAGACAGCTGTGTGTATGGTTGACATTTCTCTACATTTTGCTCAGCTGTTGGCAGCAGCCCTACTTTCTCTCTCCCCAAGCAGAGAGAGGGAAACTGCTAAACTGCAAAAAGAAGAAAATCCAAAATCCAAGATGCATTAAGATACAGTTTGTATGTTTGTTCCTTCTACATATTTGGGTGTCGCAGCTCAAATCCAACCTAAAAATAACAAGAGAAGGAGCATTTTTTTGCGAAGTGAGATACAAGCTCCACTTTGTGAAATTATTCCTCTGGGAATGTCCACAGAAGCTATCATCTTCTTTCACATAATCCCAGGAAATAAGATGGCATGGGAGAAGATGTCTTTCAAGGGATCTGTCCAGGAATGAAGGACACTGAATTAGCAAGTCTTTGTTTCCAAACCTAAATCAGCGGTGCCCAAAACTTACCTTCCGTTATGGACTGAATTGTGTCTTCTGTTCCCACCCGCCAAATTTATTTGTTAAAGCTCTAACCCCCAATGTCATGGACTATGGAGATGAGGCCTTTGAGAGATAATTAGGTTTAGATGAGGTCACCAGGGTGGCGCCCTTCTGATGGAATTATGCCCTTCTAAGAACAGAAACCAGAGAGCTTGCCCCCTCTCTGCCATTAAGGACACAGACAGAAGGCAGAAGTTTTTAAGTCTGGAAGAGAGCCCTCACCAGAAATCAACCATGCTGGCACCCTGATCCCAGACTTCCAGACTCCAGAGCTGTGAGAAATAAATGTCTGTTGTTTAAGCTACCTCAGTCTATGGTGTTTTGTTACGGCAGCCTAAGCAGACAATGACAATTTCTCTCCCTCTGAGTTCCTCGTGGACCCACTGTCTGCACCATTACTTTAACTGCATCCTAGTCTGTCTTACAGTCTTGTGTGTTTTAGGGGTAGATCTAGAGTCTCTGCTATGTTAGTGTTTTGAAATCAGGAACTATGTCCTTAAGTTCTGCTACCTTCTGTATTGGCCCCCAAAGTATTATATATACATTCATCACTCAGTCAAAAAGTATGTATCAAGTAACTACCATATACCAACCACATTGATAAACTCTGAGGACTAGAGAGATGACAAAAAAGAAGTTTTTAAGCGTTGAGCAGCAGAGCAAACAAAACAGGTACATACATAAACAAACCTAACAAATGCAATAAGCACAATTCTAGTGGCAAGTGAAATGCATGGGCACACAAAGGAAGGAATGACTCTTTTACCTGGTGTCAACTAAAGAGAAAAAAAATCAGACTATTTTTCCTTTGTTTGTTTGTAGAGACGGGGTCTTACATATTGTCCAGGCTGGTCTCCAACTCCTGGCCTCAAGTGATTCTCCCACCTCAGCCTCCCAAAGTGCTGAAATTACAGGTATGAGCCACCATGCACCGATAAAAAAAATCAAGCTTTTAAAGATTTAAAGCTAATTTTATTTAAAAGTCTTACTAAGGACTATAGACTGAGGCCTATAGCCCAGAAGCAGCCCTTTAGAGAGGTTGTATCTGAGGTTCTATCAGACTGCGCCAGCCCAGTGTTTTAGCAGTGGGCTATATAGATAATGAAGGTTTAGTGTGTGTAAAATCATATCAAACTTGTTCAGAAGTTACAGTAAAGAGGAATCACATCAAGGGTGTAAGAGTATATCTGGTTGTAGATATATACATTTGGGTGTAAGAGTATATCCAGTTATAGATTATAGAGGCATAATCACTAACTTTGTCAGACATTATCTTACGCGTAGGAAAAGGCAAGAACTAGGGTCATTTATCTTTTAAGATATATAGTAACTCAGGCAAGAGATGTGGGACACCGTGTGCTCTATCCTGTTTGGTTTGCAAAGCATATCTCCAGAGAACTGCATGTGGTCACAGAGTCAGAGCCTTTGTGAAATCACACTGGCAAGCAGAAATGAGCAAATATGACTTCTTACCTATGCTACTTTGTCTCACAGTGGGAAGTACAGATGACTCCCCAGGTGAGACGGCATTTGATTGAGAGCTTAAAACAAGAGTTCCACAGATGAGGAGAAGAAAGAAGCTTTCACTCCAGGCAGGAGGAACAGTGTGAGGGTGAATACAGAGTATGGTAGAGGAAAACAGAATGGTCTGGTGTAGTGTATGGGAGTGGGGAATGGGAGGAGGGGTTAGAAACGTGGAGAAATCAGACTAGACAAGTAGGTTAGATGCAAATCATGAAGGACACTGATTCCTGAATGAAACCCTAAAGAGCTTCTACCTAATGTTCTAAATCTTAGTCTGCTCTCAGGGATTTTAAAGCAGGGAATGAGTGATCTAATCTGCAATTTGGAAAATAATCCCTAGAAAAAGAAAATAACATAATATCAGAAATAGAGACTCTAAAGGAGAATAGTGAAGAGATTGTTGTAATGGTCTAGCCAAGAGATAACAAAAGAGGAACAAGGGGAGGGACAGAGAGAATGGAGAGGAGGGCAGCATCATGGAGCCAGCTGAGTGTAGAAACCATGTCTGGAATTCAAGCAATTACCACTGTTACATGATTTTCCTCTAACACATTCTGTAGCCCTGAGCAAGAAAGGGTAACAAACCAGCCAACAAATGGGAGGTTTTTCCTGAGTGCATGATGAGAAAGGCAGGTGCTACTGGAAATCACTGGGTTACTGGGACTAAGAACATTGGTGAGCATGTTGGGTGGGTGATTTTTCACAAATCCGGATGGGAGGAAAGGAAGAATCTAAAGGAACAGCAAGGACTCACAAGAACAGATGTCCAATGAGGCTAAAGAATGGGTTACAAAAAGAAAAAGAAAGCAGAAAAAGGATTTCAAAATTCAGGATTTCAAAGATTGAGTCATTTTATATGTGACAAGGCTCCAGGTATAGCTACTTGTGATTAAATTAATTCATTAATGTAAAAAAAACCAGAAAGTTCTTAGATGAAATAATTTTAAGGAACTGAGAGATTCAGTTGTTAAATAGGTAATCAGAAAGGACATTGAAGTCAACCAGAGTAATGACATGGGCTAGAGAGAAGCGGCAGACTGCAGGAAAACTGCTGCAGTCCTCAGAGAATGGATGGGAAGGCTAAGGAGGCATATAGATGAAGTTCTATATCAGTAAAGGAATTCTAATTTAAATTGTTTCAGAACTGCCAGGAAAGCTGCAGAACAGAGGTCTGAAAACATAAGAGAAGCCAGGAAAATGCAAGTCCTTCCTCCTGACCCTAGAAAATCTCTGCTGCCAAGGCTGGGACTCTGCTGCCAACTTCAGGCCTGGGAAAACCAAGACTCCAGGAGCTCTACCTCTAGGATTCTTCCAAACATCTCACCATGTCCTCTGATACCTCTGTAGTCATCTGCCACAACCTACTTCTGAATAAATCCTACATTCCACCTTTCTGTGCCTGTACCCAAGAAGCCAAATGTTGATGGAAAAAACCACAAAGGTAGTTAACTGGTCAGCACTGCCAAAAACAAACAAAAAACCAGGCAAACAAAAATCAACCACATTTCTTTAGTAGACTCATATTGCCCTCCACTACGCAAACATTTTATGTCTCACTCACTCTCTTCAAATTTATCATAGCCCAACTTGACAGTCACTCACTGCTCATGACCTTGCTTATACTCTAAGGAAAAAGAAGACATCACATCTGAACACATACATCTGCCAACCCCGAAACTACCAACTTAAAAACACATGTACTCATCCTCTTTCTCCTATTGCAATGGGGGGAATATCCCCGCTTCCATTAAAGGGCAGCTGCACACATCCCTTTTTTTCTTCTCAGAAACTTGGCTTCTTCCATTTCCCCCATCATTAACTTTCCCTAATCTGTACTGGTATATGTATCACTCAATTTTAAAAAGGGTATGTAACACACACACACATACACACACATGCACATTCCCATATCCATTGCCATCCAGTGGCCCATTTCTCCACTTCATAGCCAAATTTTGGGGGGAAAAACTGTCTACTGAGGCTCTCCCTACTTCATCTCCCATGCACCCTCCAAGCCATCATGTACCAACCTCTATCCCAGTCCCACTGAAACCCACTTTGTCAAGGTCATCAAAGATCTTCATGTTGTGAAGCCAATGGAAACTTCTCTTTAGGCTGAAATGTTACATGAATTGAACATTTCCCATCAATGCATAAACCATCTGTATGCTGATGAGTCTCACATTTATATCTCCAGCTTAGATCATTTCTTTGAGCTTTAGAATTTCCTTTTTATTACCTACTTGATACCTTGCCTTGGATGTCTCACGGACTTCTAAAAAAGCCCCCCAAACTGCCCTTCCCCTTCCTGTGTCTTCCTCTCCTCAGTAACTGGTACTATTTCCCACTCAATTCAAGTTGGAAACATAGGGAACATTCTGTTTTTCATTTGCTTCACTCCTGCCATCCAGTCTCTTCAATTTATAATATGAATGTATCTAAAGTCTGTGTTCTCTGCTCACCTCTACTGCAACTCCCTTACTACAGCCTGTCATCTCCGTCCAAGGCAATAACAGCATTTTCCTCACTTGTATCCTTTGCTTCCTTTCTTACCTGTCTCATTCTCCACTTGCCTGCCAGGATGAACTTATTATAATAGAAATTGGATCATATAAGTCTGTCCCTGAAATCTTCCATGGATTCCTATTCCAAATGCACGATTCTGTCTCTCCTCTTCTCTCTGACTTACATCTCAAAAGCACTTTCTCCACACTCGCCAAGCTCCAGCCACGATAGTGGTCATGGTCATGCAATTTCTAGAAGAGACCCACACTACCTCGCACCTCAGGACTCTTATCTATGTTATATTTTTTTGGAATGCTCTTTCCTCCCTCTTTAAATGGACAAACTCTTTCTCGTGCCTTATGTCTCAGCTGAAATTGTATTTCTAAAAGGACTTCTGCAATCACCCCAAAATCTGTTGGTCTTAGCTTCTTGTTTGTGTCCTTACATACTTTTATTGTGACTTTAAGTTATCGTATTTGCTTTTTTATCTGAATTTCACTCATTAGAACATAAGCTACCTGGGAGCAGGAGCTATTAGAGTTACATCTTTAGCATAGTGGCTAATATATTACAGTTTCTCAACATTTTTTGAAAGAATGAAACTAATCTTCAATTTTATGATATTGAGAAACATATGCAACCAACTTTCAGTTAAGACAAGGATGTAGAGGGAAGAGGAAGAACAATGAAAGCAAGTGAAGATAATAAACAAAAATTAATGAACCCTTACTATATATTGAGTGCTATCTCTTGACCAGATAGCAGAGGTGCAGATGGAAGCAAAATGAGATTTAGAATGGGGCCAAGGAAAGGGAAGAAATGAACAGGAGTTTCTACCTTCAATTGTCATGCTAATCACAGGGATAGTTGCCAGAGAAGGAGGGAACCTGATAAATGAGCAAGAGATTAACTGACATGACTGACCAGCCTCAGAATTTCATCTGGAATTTTACTGTTGAATCATGAGTTTCCCTCCAGTTGTTGGGGGAGGAACATGGGCTGGATGAGGAGTTGTGTGTAGAGGCCACATGCAGATATACTTGTCTGAGGTGGGAGAGGCATACCTGGCTGGGTACACAAAAGCCAAGAGGAATGGATAGATCAAAAGCAAAGACATTTAAACCCCAGCCCAGAGTAACTGCTCAATAAATATTTGTGCAGCCCTTAGCACAATGAAGGTCCTTAGTAATTCTGAGAAAATCTTTCTAATACTGCAACTGACATTTCAAAATTAAAGTTGCATGGTTCTAGGTGGCCACATAAACTCACCTTTTAAAAAATCAGCAACAAAAATTTTTGCTTTGAATGATTAACAATACTTTGTTTTCCATTTTTTTTGTGCTGACAGTATTTCATCAAGCTACAACTTACACACAGCCATATGCACATCCTTGGTGTACAGCTCCATGAATGCTAACATACGAATACACTGCCCAGCTCAAGAGGACAAAGCAATACTAATACCTCCATTGGCTTCAAGCTGAGAAACAAAAAATCCTTGTGCTAGATAATGCCCATTATCAGTGCCCCTCTCCACCCTCAGTCTAAGGGAGCCAAGGTAATTTTGGTGTGGTTGAGTTAATGGCTGGAATAGAAAGCCATTTCTACTAAAGTTATCTTTACAATGTCAAAAACACAAGGGATATGTATTGCTTCATTCTTTTCCAAAAGAAGTGTCAGCCATGATAGTTCTATATTTAGAGGAAAATAAGAAAAACATTATTATGCTTTGGAGAGTAACTTGTGACCCTGCTTCTCTGAAAGGCATTTTCCTTGGTTAGTTAGTCTGTTCCTGAAAACCACTAATAACCCAATTCTTCCGATTTGCTTTACTCCTGTGTCCCTCCAGGGGAACACACATACAGTCCCGTCAGGTATGAAATCAGAGGGACCAGAGCCTCAAAAAAATCTATTCTCACACTGCTTTTGCTTACGTGCCTCTAACTCTCATGGGATGGTCTATGGTTTCCATGGCAATACCTGGCAACAATGCTGGGCAGCCTTACAGGAGCTCTGTTTGGAAGCGATGGGGCTAAAACGCATCTGTCAGAGGTAATAAAGAGTTCTCTGTGTGAACATTTCTGTCTGACTGCTCCACTCAGACACCTGCGCAGGTTCAGAAGGTAATGAGCATGGAGCAGGGTGGGAATCTGGGGTGGGTGAGCCTATCGTATGGACAGTCTTTAGCACATGTCATGATGGGGCCACGATCCTCACCCAACTGGGTGGCTTTGACCAGATAAGTTAAAAGCTGACACTGTGTCTGACCTCTGAAGTCTTTACTAAAGACTACATCGATTCTCAGACTCATCTTTAAAAGTTGAATTTCTCATATTTTTACTCTCTGCCATCTCTAATAAGTTCCTTTTGCTGAATTTCCCATTTCTGTTAATGCTGTCACCATCTTCCTCAGCACGCAAAGCTTCAGGTTGAGGCTTTAATCCATTCTTCAAATTGAATCAAAAAAATCCTCTTAGTTTTTCATTCTCATTTTTTTCTTACGTCTATCCTTTTATATCCATTCATTCATTCATGTATCCATTCATTCAAAACATACTTATGAGCCCTTACTATTGACTGAGGATGCAACAAAGAACAGAATGGGAAAAAAAAGTTCAGTATCTTTGGATGGGCTTAGAGCACAGAACCAGTTGATAGGTTATGACTCCCTATTGTGACAACTCAAGTCAGATTTCTATCCACTACACTAGGAATTTTTCCAGTTATAAAGATCAAGTAATACTCTGGTAGGCTGCCTATCTCTTTCATTTCTATGGACAGGTGATTGATTAGCCACCACCAAAGACCTTGTAGATATAAGTATCCTGACTATCAATATATCCCTGTTGCTATTAACTACTTCTACTTTGATGATACCTTTTTACTGGCAATTAAATGCTAGTGCTTGTGCTCTGCCCCCATAGGATCCCTTCATCCTCATCACAACGGCAACATCTCCCACTATCACCCCAGCTTAGAGAGGCAGCCACTGCTGAGTTTTTATAGTATGCTGCTGCTCCAATCACTGCTTTATTTATGATTTCATGAAATGAGGGTGTCATGGGGTCATCAGGGAATATCTGCTACAAGAAGAGGCTCTCAATATTCAGATATCCCAGGTGACATGTTCTGTGGCAGGAAGTCACTTTCCCCAGCCATCCAGAGTGGCAGACAGAGAGTGTGGAGGAGCTTGGCAGCAGGGAATCACACTTTCCAAGGCTGAACTGACAATTGCTACTACTAAGTGTCTAACCTGCCAAGAGCAGAAACCAAAAGGGAGCCATTAATATACTATCATTTTTCCAGGAAACCAGAGAACCACCTGGTAGCTGATTACTCATATTGAAACTCTTCATCATAAAGGGCAGCCAGCCACGTGTGCTCATTAGAAAGTATATGTATTACAGTACAGATTTCTCTTTCCTGTTATGTTTTTGCCATCTCATTATCCTTGGACTTTTATTACATCTTATTCATCATCATGGCATACCCAGACAATATTTGCTTCTAAACAAGGAATTTATTCCATGGCAAAAGAAGTATAGCAATGGGCCCATGTACATGGTCTTACCATGTGCCACATCTCCCAGAAGCAGCTGCTCTGATCAAATGGTAGAATGGCCAATTAGAGGCCAGCTGGAAGAGAAAACCCTGAAAGGTTGGGGTTCTATCCAATAGAGTGAAATACATGCTTTGAACCAGTGATCAATGTGTGGTGCAATTTATCCCACAGCCAGAATCAAGGGGCAGAACTTGGGAATGGATTCTCCTACAGCTACACTAGCAATCCACTGAGATAATGTTTGTTACCTGTCTCTACACCTTTGAGCTCTGTTGATTTAGGAATTTTCATTTACAAAGAGAAAGTATTCCACGTAGGCGTAGATGACCATTTGAAGCTTCTGATGCTACTAAACCAAAAGGCTAAAAAGGAATTTTATACTGGCTGGGAAAATTGGGTTCTACTACTCAAGAAGACAGAGAAAACTAGTCCCAGAGCCTGTGGTCTTCTAAGGGTGTCTCTTATACTCCTCGGTGCAACATTTTGGAAAACCATATCAACTCAATAAATGCAAGACCTCTGGGAATTCAGGCCCCTTAAAGAATGAAGGCTTTCAGGTAAGAAGTCTTGGCCGGGTGCAGTGGCTCACACCTGTAATCCCAGCACTCTGGGAAGCTGAGGTAGAGGAGAGCTTGAGCCCTGGAGTTTGAGATCAGCCTGGGAAATACAGGGAGACCCCCATCTCTGAAAAAATGGAATTTTAAAAAATCTATCAGCTGGATATGGTGTGTGCACCTGGGCAACAGAGCAAAAGCCTGTATCTTAAAAAACAAGAGAGAGAGACTCTACAAGCTGAGTTGCTAGCTTACAACGAATGTAACATCAAATAGACAAATAGACAGTGGAAGAGGAATTGATATTAGTGATGACCTCATGAATAGTTATAGAAATGTGACTCTTATGAATGTCTACCTTTGTTTAATTTGTGTGTGTGTATCTACCTTTGCTTAATTTGTGTGTATCTATCTATCTATCTATATATATATATATATATATATATATATAATGTTAATTCATTTCTTCCCCCTCCTTTTTTCCCCTATTATTTTACTTAAGTTCTACTATTCATGATTAAGTTTATAACGTCATCTTTAGTTTACAGAGTATTCAGATAGATATGTAGATATGCATATGATTGTTACAGGAAATCTCTTTTGGTTAGAAGGTAATACAGTCTTCATTTGTATGAGGGATAATTGCATCTTATTAGGCAGAGCACGGAGCTCTTATAATTGGTTAGAAGGATGGGGACTGATGCTGACTAACCAAGAGGATAGACAAGACTAGTTATTTGCCTACTTTCTCTGAGCTCCAAGTCCTGCTATACTTTGCAGTGGTGAGCCTAGACTAGCTTGCCAGCTGGCCCTCTATTAGGTTCTGCTAATGAGAGGCACCAGAGGGATTGGAAGGTGGGAAGAGGAGAGAAGGGACATCCCTTCTGTTTCTAGTCCCTTCTGGCAATGCTCCCGCAGCCACAGGTGGCTGGCTCAGCCTCCAGGTTCTTCAATACTCCCAGTGCCAGCTTTTCCATGCCCCTGCAGAGGCACCTGCAGGCATGAGGCCCAGCACTTTTGGGAGTTCAGTGCTAGCCATGCCATCCTTCCTCACCCATGGAGCCAGGCCCTTCCATGGTCTGCATTCACCAGATCATGCCCTCTCCTCAGAGGCATAAGCACCCATTAGGCCACACTCCTCTGGAGGTCCAGCACTCACCTGACCTTGACCCTTCTTGGGATTCTGATCGCCAACACTGAGGCGTCCCCAGATTCTGCTAACCCACCTCTTCCTTTCTCTTTCCTAGTCCTAGATTAGTAACTAATTCCTGTGGTTATGCATGTCAGTCACCTCAGCACTTCTTCCAATGGTGTGCGATTAATGACATCTATTCCCCTTTGCTTTAAATATCCAGTTTGTCAGGTTTCTTGTTTATGGTATTTTTTCCCCCTAACTGGACCTTGTTTGATACAGAGAAGAGCAGGTTTGGAGGGAAAACTGATTAACACCACTATTCATGCATTGTCGCTCCGTTCATTCATCCATTCACTCTTCCACCTATTAAATATTTCTTGAATTCTTATTGGGCACTCCACTAGGCTTTGAGATAAAAAGGTGAATAGGCATGGTTTGTCCCAGCCAGCAAAGATTTCCTTTAAGGCCTAGGGGAGGAAGCAGGCCATCCAACCAGCAGTAGCCAGAGAGTGCCACGGTGGAAGAGGAGCACTGACCTCAGTCAGGGGTTGAGGCAGACTCAGAAACAATTCCAGAAGCAGTGGCATCTGCACACACAATGCATGAAGGGAGGAGATGCTCCAGGCAGAGAGAACAACAGGGTTAAAGAAAAATATGTTTGAGGTAAGGTGGCAGGTTTAGTCCTCTGATTGTGATGGAGCTCAGATTGCAGAGCATATGACGAGGAGAGGAAGACAGATGAGAAAGCAGAAGTGGGGAAGACAGCCGAATGAGAGCCTGGCAGCTCCTGTAAGCCACAGCGCCTTTCCCTCTCCTGTCTCCTCTCTTGCTCCATTCGGTGATCAATGTTGGGCACACATTGCTCCTCTGACCTGTGGAAAGGAAAGGAGTGTGGAGAGTGTCAACTCCTCAGCCTCAATCCAAAAGCCCCAATAACAACTGTTTCCCAGTCAATCATCTCACCTCTAGGTTGCATGCTTTCTTGCAAATTTGGCTCTGCACTCCAATTTCCTTCTAGAGCTTTCTCTCCTTTGTCTTATCTGGGCTCTTTTCCTCTCAGTCTCCCCATCTTCTTAATGAACAGCAATTTTGTTCTCTCAGCTTTTTCGAACCCATCTCATCACCCCCATCAAATTCACCCATGCAGTTACCAGGGCCCACTCTCCTTAGCAGGCACCAGATTATATGCAGCAGAATCTTTTCTTGTCATGGGATGAATACAGTGAATAACATGAGTAGGTGTCAGAAGTGTGAGTGAAAGAACTGCCCCTGCTTGCTAGGGCCACATTGAGGTTGGAGGTGGGAGGAGATGCTCTTGATAACCTGGCCTGTATTCTCAGTGCCAGGAGGAGTGTGCACCCATCCAATCATTATTTAGTAAAAATATTTTTGTAAATAAAATACAGCCTAAGTACCTTGAATAATTTTAAATTCATATCAGATGCAGCTTTTGAAGTTATAAGATTCTTTGACTTATGTGAACAATGTAACCCATGTGTAATTAAAAATTTTTAATGGAATTGTATCTCCCACTGATTGCCATGTTTATGCTCTCTGCATATTCCCACACAAACTATACTCTGGCACCAATATCTGAGCACTGTCATAGCGTCAAAATGTGTAGCCATCATTCTATCACCTCAAATCCAGAACACACGCAAAACTACACAACTATCCTGTCAATGTTACAAAGAGAATCACCAAAGGAAAATGCAAAATTATGTGTACAAAAAAAATCTATTCATGTCACCTGATCTCACATTTAGTTTCCCTCTCTCCACACACTCTATATTATCATGTAATGGGATAATGAGTGCATTTTTGAATTTTCCAAATTTTTTACAATGCAACTGTATGCCTTTTATAGTTACGTGTTAGAGCTTTTACATGAGTTATTCAGATACCTGGGAATATCTGGCAAACCAATGGACCCAGCCTTTCTGATGTGTATTTGCACAAAAAATTGAGAAGACTTCTTAGAGCCAAGAATGACGGTTTTGATCCAGTACACAACCCTTGGTCATCAGAAAGGAGGGATGGTCCTGATCACATTCTGAAGTGGGTCTCTTGGGTATGTCTGTGACTTTGGTTTCATATCTACATTCTCTGGAGAAAGAGAGGTAAGGTAAAAGCTAACATTTCTGTATGACTAAACATTCTTTATAACATCGGGGCTCAGGTATCACACAAAACAAACATTCTTCTCCTATTCACGACAGAACTGCTTTGACACCTGGAAGAATCTGGCGGGAGATGGTGGTGCCCAGCAAGAGGATGTTGATTCTAAAATGTCCCAAAAATGCTCACCTGCAAAGAGGAATTACTCTCTGCAGAAGCAGCAGTATTGCACCATGGTTCTTGCAGAAGAGGCAAGAGTGCCCACTGGGCAGAAAGTGGTGCCAGTTGGACCCAGAAGTGGCATCCAAAAAAAAGTCAGGCACAAGGCTAAGCCTGGCAGACTTGGTAAACCTGAGGGAGGAAGACAGTGACAGAGGAAGATGAATAAAACCCCCAAGCCATCTGGCAATATGTGAGACACTGTGGGGATGCCCAGGATAAAACCGAAAGAATTTTGAAGAAGCTGGAGCAAGAGTTAGAGGTGAGAAAAATACATCTCAGGGTGCCTCACACAGGGTAGGCAATCAAGATTTTCCTTTTAGAAAGGTGGGTTTAAATGCCAGGAGAGAAGGTATAGAGGAGAATAGAACAGAATGGAATGGAACGGAATGGAATGGAATAATGACTCAGTTATAAATGTATTCTCTCCATAGCGTTACAATCTGTCTTGAGTAAATTTCTATCTGCTGGTCCTTGCTCTGTCCTCTATAGCAAGCAACTCTCTTGTCACTATAGCAGGGACTTATTGAACTATGTTTTATGGATTCCTGGGATTCAATCAGAGGTGTCTCAGAGACAAAGTGGGGATTTGGGGGAGGGGCTCTGGTGTGGTTCCATCCATGATTGTGCTTAGGGGAAAAAAAGGATTTCTCAACTTAAAACAAAGTCACTGCTCTATGGCAATATCATATAAGACAAGTCATCCTTCAAAACAATAACCCTTCAAATATTTGGAGACAGCTGTCGCATCTCTGCTTATTCCTTTCTCCTGAGGCGAAAACACGTCAGACACCTGCTCCTCAGCTAAGGCGCTCCAGGTCCTTCATCCTCCTGGCTGCTTTCACACACTGCCTTCTGCTTAGTACTTGTCCTTTTGAATATGTGTGTGGCTGGATAGAAATTCACGGACTTTGACCCAGATATGCTTTTTTAAAAATCGTTATTATCATGATCATGTGAGAAAAATTAAACTTTCCAGATAAATTAAACTTCCAATTTAAAGTACACACTATTCTGCTAGAACACCTGTTTCTATAACACCAATCACTCACACACAATTGATCGACAGAAAGATGATGTCAGTATAATGCAGAAGTTGCTTTGGTTTATAAGTGGTTTTCACTGACAAGGGAAGAGGAATTAGCAGGAACAGCATTATATCCATCAGCAGGAAAGGACAATGCCTCAGTTTGACAGTTGTACAGGCAGGAGTGTTTTAATCTGCATTTTAAGAAAATAAAAAACGAGCACCTACTAAAGAATTGTGGGTTTTTTTAAATAAGCATCTTCCTAGCGGGAAATAGTAGCTCATGCCTGTGATCACAGCACTTTGGGAGGCTGAGGCAGGCAGATCACTTGAGGTCAGGAGTTCAAGACCAGCCTGGTCAACATGATGAAACTCCATCTCTCCTAAAAATACAAAAAATTAGCCAGGCATGGTGGCATGCGCCTGTAATCCCAGCTACTCAGGAGGGTGAGGCACGAGAATCGCTTGAACCTGGGAGGCAGAGGCTACAGTGAGCCAAGATCGCACCACACTGCACTCCAGCCTGGGCAACAGAGCAAGACTCTGTCTCTAAATAAGTACATAAATAAATAAATAAACCAGCATCTTCCCCAAGCTCAGAACTCCCCTTCCACCTGCCTTGTCTCAAACAGCAACCTCATGTATTTGCACTCCTGTTTCTCAGATGTGTTATGCCCTGAAGCAACCTGAAGCCACTGATTTGCCTGCCTGCCCGACAGTCTGTGTTAGCCCTGAGATACACATGATTGCTTGGTTAGTGCTCTCTTTACCCAGTCATAGCAATTTTTTAATAGTTTGCCCCTAATCTTATTTTGCTACAAAGCTTGCTACTCTTCCTGAGCAGTTTTACAGATAGCAAAGTTTTTTGCATGGAGTTATAACAGAAAGGCCTATAGTTTCCTTCAGGCCAATATTCAATCAGTTCAAAATTTAAACTCTTCATAAGAGTGTTTCTCCACTCTCAACCCCCTTCCCCGACACTTCCCAAAATGGTTTGTAAATTCGGAGGCAGCTTATGTATCCTAATGGCAGTGGGAATACAAAAGGGCCTCTGATCTCATTCGGTACCCTGAGTCTTCCCTGTCCTCTCTTGAGATGTCCCCATCCATCTAGTCTCAGGTCCTCTGGGCTGATACTGGGCTGCCCCCACCTTCCCTGGCATCTCTAGAGATTGTACAATCACCTACTGCTAAAAAAAAAAAAAAAAAAAAAAAAGTTTTTTTTCCTACAGCTTCCAGTTGCAAAGTCCTGGCCGTGTTCTCTCCTCCACCTGAACTCCGAACCTGCCTAATGCATGGGCTTCCCAGCCCTTCTCCACTCCCCCAGGGAAAGAGGCAGGGCTCTCTGTTTACATGATTCAGCCTGTGACAGGAAGAAGGCAATGAAGGGCACTATTTTAGGCCCATCAATCTAGCCACCTCCCCACCAATGCTGCTCTTCTGCTCTGCACTGTATAAATGAGAGCATGGCAGGGACTTTTGCTCTGTCTTATCCTCCACCTCCCAAGGTTTGGCTTCTCCTATAGCTCTATGTGCAGACTGCCATGCCTGACACTTAATACGTAAGGGAAACTTTAGAAAATGGGAAATCCTTCTGTGTCTCAACACAGCCTGGTTTTCAAGATTATTATCTCTTTATAATTTCAAGAAAAATCAAATTTGAGTCTCAAAATCGAAAAGTATTTCTCTCACTATTGTAGGCTGTTATTTTCTCTTCAGCTGAAGCAATGATTATCAGTGATTTGGAGCAGAGAAGCTGTGGTTCAAGACGGAAACTAGGAATGTTGAAAATCAAGATAACTTTGGTTTATCATTTTTAACAATTTCATCAAGGTTTCATGTGATGTCCAGAATTAAACATGTAGGCTGACCAGCAAAGAGTTCAGTGGGACTAGAACTGGGAATGAGTCAACCTCTACAAAGGAAATTCCTTTTTTATTAGCCTTATCATGGGTTTCAATCACGCAACTGAGTTAAAAGGCTGTTGGAAAAGAGGAGATGGGATCCATCCTTGGTTCCCCAAGGTCACACATCGGCAATTTCTGCACCAAGAATGCTGTTGGGAGAGCCCTGTCTGCTCTTTTCATCTCTGTGAGGGTCTGCCTCTGCCCCAGCTGTGGCCCTAGTAATGTCTCTGTTGCTTTTACTTATCCTATTACCTTATGCCTCTAAGATTTTTTGCTCAAAGGAGTTCCCTGCAACTACCAAGCACAGGAAATAAATGGCGCCATCTTCCTCGACAGATGGCTGGGCCCCAAGGCTCACCACACTGGACGCCTTGACCAAGGAGGTCCTGCTCCTGTCATTTACGAAGGCTGACTCACACCGCTGAAGTCATCCTGACAGGCTGCACTGCCCCCACAGAGCACCTTCTAGTGCCTTGCCCTCTCCATTCCTACGCAATGTGATAAAATGCTCCTGCTCTTTCTTCTCTGTAGTCAATTAATACACTTCTGGAAGAGGGTTTCACCTCCAGAAAGGGATACACCAAGTGGCAAACATACCAAATTTCTCTGCCCTGTGTGCACATTTCATCATTTCTACTATATCTAGAGTCTTATGTACCGAAGGTAAACAGAGAAACCAAGAGAAGAAGGTGGCAAGGATGGGGCGAAGATTTATCCAGGCCTCTGAGCAGGCCCGGAGCTAATGTTTTATACTTTTGTAAATCAGCTTCCCATAGACAGTTCTCCAACCTACAGCTAGATGTTCATTTGAAAGTGCAAATCCTGTCACATATCACTCCTCTCCTCAACACTGTCCAAGGCTTCTCTTCAATCTCACAACACAATTAAGTTCCTTACTCTGGCCTGTGAGGCTGTACATCATCCAAATCTGCTTCTATCCCTTACCTCATCTTCTACTCAGTACACCTCGCCACACCGGCCTTTTACTGCTCTGGGATTCCCCATGTTTGTTCCTGCCTCAGGACTTCTGCCCTTGATTTTGCCTCTTCCTGGAACACACTGCCCTCAAAACAACTCACTGCTCACTCTCTCACAGTAAGGAAGAATTTCCAAAACTTCTTTGGTTCATGCAATGAAAGTTCAGCAGTATTTTCATGTCTACTGTTGGGCAAAAGAAATACCGAACAGTTCTGTGTATTAAGGAGTTCAGTCCACACAACATAGTAAGCATTTATGGCCATTTAGAAAATGATATGCATAAATTGAAATTTAAAATAATATTTTAGCCTGGGCATGGTGGCTCACACCTGTAATCCCAGCACTTAGGGAGGCCGAGGCGGGCAGATCAGCTGAGGTGAAGAGTTCAAGAACAGCCTGGCCAACATGGCCAGACCCTGTCTCTACAAATACACAAAAAATTAGCTTGGCATGGTGGTGTGCGCCTTTAGACCCAGCTACTCGGGAAGCTGAGGCAGGAGAATCTCTTGAACCCAGGAGGCAGAGGTTGCAGTGAGCCAAGATCATGACAATTCACTCCACCCTGGGGGAGAGGGTGAGACTCTGTCTCAAAAATAAATAAATAAATAAATAAATAAATAAATAAATAAATAAATAAAATTTTAATTTTCTTTATAAGTAACACAATCACTTACTGCATTAGTTTCCTAAGACTACTTCCTAGCCTATTCTTATGGTAACAAATTGCCATAAACTTGGTGGTTTTAAATAACAGAAATGTATTCTCTCATAGTCCTAGAGACCAGAAGTCTGAAAGTGAGGTGTCATCAATGGCCCGCTCACTTCAGAGGCTCCAGAGAGTAAATCCATTTCATACCTCTGTAGCTTCTGACGGTTGCAGCAATTATTGGCATTCCTTAGCTTGTAGCCAGATCACTCCAATCTCTGCCTTCATACCACTTTGTCCACTGTGTGTGTCTGGGTCTAATCTCTCTCTGTCTCTTATAAGGACACATGTGATTCCATTCAGATAAGCCAGGATAAATGCATTCTCTCAAGAGCCTTAACTTAATTACATCTTTTGCCATATAAGGTAATATTCACTTTTTCACAATATGAGGTAACATTCACAGGTTCTGGGAATTAGGAAGTAAATGTATTTGTCTCTACATATAATAATCTCCACATTTTTTCTGTCTCTACATGTACTAGTGGGTTGTATGCACCTGTTAGGCACTGCACAGTTCCTCAAACTTTGAAATCACATTGGACCCTGCCACCTTCATCTCTTCTTCTTGGCTTTCACTGTGTACTCACTCATTACCACAGCAACAACAAAAACTCAGCTTTGCAAAGATAAATCATCATTGAAAGGAAAGTAGCATAATCTGATGTGAAACTGTGAGAATCACCTGAAGCTAGTAGTTTGTGCAGTATCTAACAGATGTTGAATAATATTGCATTTCCCTCAAAAGTCTGAATTATCTGGTAGCAACCCTGTGAGTTCCTTGGAAGACAGTTTGGAAACTGTAGGTTTAAGGTATTTGCTCAAATATCATTCCTCAGAAAGACTACTGCTCCCAGCCATTTTCTCTACTAGTTCACTCTACTTTACACCAACTGAGCACATAGCACCACCTTGTATTACATTATAAATTTGCTTATATCTGCTTCTCTACTACGATGTAAGTTCTATAAAAGCAAACACGTTGTCTTCCCCACCATCACTGTACCTTCACTCCGTGACGCAGTGCCTGGCACAGAACAGGCACTCAAAATGCTTGCTGAATGAGTGAATAAGTGATATAAATGGAGACCTGGGGTCTCCACATCACAATACATAAAATTCTGTACAGGTAATAGGTCTCTTCCATGTGCCTTTCAGGTACATATTTCCTGACTCTCTTCAGCTTCAGCGATGTCCAACCCTTTGAATGAGAGGAACTTTTTGCTAATCTGTGGTGATGGAATACACAAAAATTACGCACTGACCTTTTTTTTAAGCTCAATCAGCCATCATTAGTGTATTTTATGTGAGGCCCAAGACAATTCTTCTTTCAATGGGCCCAGGGAAGCCAAAAGGTCAGACAACCGTGATCTACATCTTTAAAAAGTATATGATCTCTCAGTGCAAAATCTCTTATAGTTCTCTTTTAAACTTTTATTTTAGGTTCAAGGTACATTCAAAGTTTCTTCAGCAATATAAAATGTATTTCTCTGAACTCTACAGGTCAGTGGTTGATCTCATAGTAATAAAATAAAAATGTAAGAATATTGACTTAGGTTGTCCTGTCTATACACCACCATTCTGTGACATTAGAGGGGCAAAATTTAAGACTCGATGAAAGAAGAGTTGGAAGTTCATGTTAAAGGGGAAATAAGAGAGACATGCATGCTTCTATGAAAGATGAGAGGCCCTGGCTGATTTTCCCTGATAGCCTCCTTTCTCTGTCCCTAAATATGGAGACCTCGGGACATTTCCGTGTCCTAAATATGGGCCCGGCCATCAAAGAGCTTGAGTCTGACATTCAGATGCCTGTGTTCTCTGGAGCTAAAGTGAGTTTTCATAAAGTGTAAAAAGCTAATTAATAACTTACATTGTGTTAATTTTAGCAGATAATTTCATTTCAGGTGAAATAATTGCCCATTTTTTTGGCTAGTCTTCGTTTAACTGGAACCAATATCACAGGAAGGAGAGGGGAGGCCTCAGGTCAGGAAATGACAGACTTGTGCACTCATCTTTTGACTCTCTTCCTCCATGTTCCCTTGAAATGGCAAAGGGAAAAAAAACGTGTAAAAGAATTAACTGTTTAGTGACAAAATGAAACCAAAATGGGATTTTGCCCTCAGAAGTGAACTCTCGAAGCCCAAGAACTGGGCTCGAACAAATAGAGTATGTCATCTGCCTGAAGAGGAAGTCAGGGTGCTTGGCGAGGGATCTGGGTCCTGAGAAAGATGCCAAGTCTTTGGTAACTCTGGACCTCCAGGAGATATAATAATGAAACCTAATGAAACAAAATGGGAGAAGAAAGGCAGCTTGGGGGTGAAGCCGACTAAAGCACTCCATTCCCAGAGTCAAGTTCCCCTATTCAAGGGCCCCACAAGGAAAACTACTGTACTGATGTGTGCCCCCAACCACACAGACTCCACATCCAGGCCTCTTCAAAAGCAAGGCCTTCTGGGTGAGCAGCCACCCACATCTACCTGTACTAATCATACAGTTCTGCACTCGTGAAAATAAACAAACAAAAGAGCATCTAACACCCAGGGAAATCCAAAAGAATAGGAGGACAAAGACCAGGATGTACCACAAAAACAAAAAACACTGACTCCTAGTGGAGTCATTTCTCCTATGGAGAAAACAGACTTTTAAAATATTTAATTGATATCCTAAAAAATATTCAAGAAGACATTTTATCCTTAATATAAGGATAAGCTGCCACAAAAAAGGAATAATCCAAGAGCTTAAAAAATTAGAAATTTGATGGTCAACTTAAAATAATGAATGTGCTAAATGATAATATGAAGATAGTCACAGAGTTAGAGATACATGAAATAAAGTTTAAGAAATCCTCAGAATGGAGAAAAAAGACAAAATAGTAGAAAACGTAACAGAAAAAAGTAAAGGGTGATACACTTTAAATGTTTACTATTCATTTGATAAGCTCCATAAACACAAAACAGATAATGGTATAGGGAAAACTATGAACACAAAAAAGAAATAATAAAAGGAGATTTGCCTTAGTTGAAAAGGCCAAGGTCTTAAGATTCACACAACTGGCCGTCTCCTATTAAATTTCAAGGCAGAATAAACTATAGATCTAAGAAACTTCCAAAAAGAAAAAGAAAACAGGCTAACTGCAAAAGAAGAAGCCACAGTCAAAACTAAAAAATAAGGAGCAAAGTCCAGAGATGAAAGTTCTCTTGAATCTTTCATACAACATTATGAACAAAGTGTGAGGATTGTTTTAAAATGTTTTTTGATGTGGAATATCCCAAAGCTTACAATTCATGTTCGATATTTGAAAAAAAAGAAATGTATACCAGCAAAAGTTTAAAAAATAAATAGCATCTCACAAAGAAATGACATAGTATATGAGGAACCAGAGAAATTCTGACACAAAAATAGTGAAGAAAGTGAAACGGAAAACAAAACAAATTTCTTTGTCAAACTTTGAAAATTTCACTTCCAACAGCAAAAATCTAACTTGCTTAATTATTTTACCATCCACCTGCATCAAATTGTTCTACTTAGTTCTGTAGTAAATAACAGTTACATAATTATAATATTAAATATGTTAATTATTTTGTTTATTTGAGAACCATAGAATTAGACAGAATATAAAAGATTTATTTATAAGTACAGAACTGCAGAACAGAATGTAAATGTTATAAATAATGTACAATAATAAAAATCAGGAAATAGATGGGAAACACTAGATGAAAGGTAATGTAAGTGCACTAAATTCCCCATTTTCATAGGAAAGTCAAAATATAATGTTGATAATTGATAAATCAAGAAATAGAGGCATAAAAAATATTATTTCAACTTAAGAGGAAACCTCCAGAAACTCTAAAAACAAATAGTGCCCAACATAGTTGCCTCCGGGAAGTGAGTCTAGGGACAGGGAGTGGAGAGACAAGGAGATTACTTTTCTATTTGATACTCTCCTGTACTGTTAAAACTATTTACCATTCGGATTCATTAGTTCTAGTATTTCCTAAAAAAAAAATGTGGAAAAGGAAACATTATACATGAAAAGCATATTCTAGATCCTGAGGGCATATATTTTCACCATTTAAACTGAAAAATGAAATAGATATCACTGTCTTTTTAAATTTTTGTTTTTACAAATTCTGAGTTTTCAGGATAAAGTTTTGGAATCTTTCCAGCAGGGATCCAAGTAGCTCTGGGTCTGCTACACCTGGTTATTTAGTAGCTCTGCTGTTCTTTGCTGCTTTGGATTTAGGCATGGAAGGCATTGGTTAACATATGAAGTGATCTGGAAGAGCAGGTTAAAATTGATATGTAACCCTTTGTCAAAGGGTTAAAAACACATACAGGCCAGGCACGGTGGCTCACATTTGTAATCCCAGCACTTTGGGAGGCTGAGGTGGGTGGATCACCTGAGGTCAGGAGTTTGAGACTAGCCTGGCCAACATGGTGAAACCCCATCTCTACTAAAAATATAAAAATTAGCTGGATGTGGTGGAAAGTGCCTGTAATCCCAGCTACTTGGGAGGCTTAGGTGAGAGAATCACTTGAACCTGGGAGGCGGAGACTGCAGTGAGCCGAGATTGCACCATTGCACTCCAGCCTGGGCAACAAGAGCAAAACTCCATCTCAAAAAAGAAAAAAAAATTACATACATTGATCAATCAGATCAGCTAATGAGTCACAAGGACAAAATGAATTCGAGTTTTCATTTGGAGACAAGTAAAACAGTAAAAGGGGAAAGCCAGTCCAGAGAGAATGCCCTAGCAGGGACCCACAGGATGCCATAGAGTCATTTGGCATCTAAAGAGGAAAAAAGGAATGAAAGAAGTTACCTATTTTCACAACAGTGTTTTGGGTGGGCCCTGACTATTGATGAAGCTAACATCTTATCCAAGGTTTGAAAGTCAAGGTTTAGATCACTCCACTAAAGATGTCATAGACTGTACTACCCAGTCCTCTACTACGAAGTTTTATCCAGACATCCTCAGGAACCAGGGCAAAAGTAACCAGTCTAGCCAGGCACAGCAGGATCCATAAAGACCAGAGGCCGGTATGTTTGATAAACATCAAAGCTGACCCAAAAACACATTTAACAATGAATCTTTTGTAAGAATAAAGACTATCAAGTACACCACATGAGGTATTGAAATACTATTCACCCAATATTAGGTAATTGCTCAAAATGTCTTGAGGAATAATAATATTTACTGACCTTCTAGTATGTTGATTTTAGGTGTAATTGTGTAAGGTCATTTGCATAGAGTTCTTTTTAGTTTGTAGCTTCCAGTGTTTTTTTTTTTCTTCTTTTAAAATTCATTTCAGCTATGTATCTGGCAGTGACTGGGTGTACACAAACAGCTAGGTCAATCTGAGGGTAACACTCAGCACAACAAGAAAACAGGTGACAAACACAAAACATGAGGTCACTTGAATGAGTGTTTTTTTTTAATTTTATCATCCATATTTAACCCAATGCATCAGAAAAAGAAGTGCTGGAAAAACTCGATTCTGAAATTTCTAAAGCAAAAACTGCACCTTGACTTAATGGGCAAGGGAAGAAATCTAAAGGCATCTTGCTATCAAATGCAAACAAAAAGGAGACATTCCCTGAGCCATCAATAAAGTGACAACCCAGGTAGGACTGGTCAGGGCTGACTGCTACAAACCCCTCAGCCTCCATCCAACTCCTCAGGCCTCATGTCAACCTGTAATAACCATTTCACAGTTGCCTCTAGGGTTCATTGGAACCCTGCTTTCTTTTTTCAGTTACTTACTCTGGGAACTCACCTCCCACCCAGATCACCTGCAGGAATTCTTGAAAAACAAATAGAATAGAATATCTGATTGGCAGACACAATCAATATGACAAAATTTAAGGAGAGAGCAACTTTTGTTCCTCTGTTGTTCCTATTTCCTTTGGTTTCATGTTGAAGGTAAATGGGACATTTTTTTTTCTGTACTGCAAGGATAGCATAGTTTTGAAATTTGCTGCTGCTAGATTGAATACTTGCTCAGTTTCTCTGACTCTTTCCTCTGACAATAGTTCCACGTACAGGATCTGAATTTCTATATCATATTTATTTGATAGTTCACCACAATGCCAGTATCTCGTGAGAACACAAGAGCCCTACTAATTACAGATTTAAAGCATTCATTAAACTATTCTGAAACATGATGAGTACCACTCTATAACATAAAATAAGGTACAGTGTACACATGTATGCCTGCTTATTTAGTGATTAATATAGATTTCGGTGTGCACTTGTCACTCAATTTAGGTTCTCATTATTGTCCTGCTTGCCCTAATTCAGTGATGTATCATCTTCTTGCATTTGTCTAAATCAGTTCAGCAGCAGATAAATCAAAGCTTTTCTTGCCCTTGCCCTTCCAAGCTGTTTAAATCATCCATCTGACCATGGAAGAAAGGACATAATCACTTGCTTAGAAGGAGAAAATATCTACATTAACTCTACAGCAAACCATTCCTGCATTAATGTGTGCAAATATGCACGTAGTGTGTGTGACTGTGTGTGCACTTACACATACACACTAAAGCCACAGATCTTGGAACAGAGTCTGAAAGAAAACCATGAAAGCTACAGAATGCTGCTCTTTTTTTTTCTTTTTGAAAAGAGAAAAGCAGGTTTCAATTCTCTTCTTTTAAGAAGAGAGTATATGTCCCAACATTTCAAAGGCCATATAAGATCCTATTTTTATATCCTCCTGAGCTGTGGGAGCTAAAACTTAATTGGTTCTCTAACTGGTAAATCCTTTGACAGACAATATAGCCTGGAATTCAGAGTCCTAATACGTTTTTTTCTTTGTGGTTCAACAGAGAAAGAACCATAAACCAGGAAAGATGTCCTGGGTAGATCTAAAGAATGTGGCACTCCCTCTTGCCTCTTTTAATTCTTTTCCTCAATCCACCTCCACTTTTTGATATTTTATTTTACTTTCTTTTTGCCTTTGGACATTTATCTCTTCTTCTAGGAAGTATGTTATTGGAAATTATTTTTAATGTAAGCAGCAAGAGTTATGACTGTGACAGGGAGGCTAAGGAGTGGCTGGAGTTTCCACCACAGCCTCCAACTGCCCTGCAGGAATATGCAGCTGAGAAATGGAGGCATCAGCTCCACTTCCAACATTTCTCTCTGGACAGGGACTATATCAGCTCTTCACTCTATGGCAGCATTAACTCTGTTGCTCTTAGAGCATTTGCTGGCATGTCAAAAACAAAACCAGGGTATTTGTCTCCTTTCACATTCTGCAGAGTATCATGCAAAACTCCATTTTTTCCAGAAATAATGAAGTAAATAGACAGGAGTCTTCTTGTGTTGTATAAGTAATCAAAACTTGCTTCTCTGAACTAGTTTTACTGTACATTTGTGCCTAGGGTAGAATCTAAGTTGAGCACTGTAAACTTTCTAGTAGGATTCTGAATTTCTCTGGAGGCAAGAGGTAGCCGAATGTGGTTATACCTTCAATTATTTCCATTTATAATTTTATTTAAAATAGCACTCCTCTCCCCACCCTGCTTATTTTTTTCATTTTTAACATAATTTTTTGAGCTATGAGCCTAATTTTTTGAAAGTTGGTTGATAAAAGTAATGTCATATATTAGGTTGGTGCAAAATTAATTGTGGTTTTTGCTTGCAATTAATTTTGTTTGCACCAATCTAATACTTTGCTGTGTTTGTCTGTTTTTTGTGACAGAGTCTCGCTCTGTCGCCCAGGCTGGAGTGCAGTGGTGCGATCTCGGTTCACTGCAGGCTCCGCCTCCCAGGTTCACGCCATTCTCCTGCCTCAGCCTCCCGAGTAGCTGGGACTACAGGCGCCCACCACCAAGCCCGGCTAATTTTTTGTATTTTTAGTAGAGACGGGGTTTCACCGTGTTAGCCAGGATGGTCTCGATCTCCTGACCTTGTGATCCGCCCACTTCGGTCTCCCAAAGTGCTGGGATTACAGGCATGAGCCACCGCGTCCGGCCCTCTAATACTTTGTTTAGAGTTTCCATGTGATGTGTCTAGGAGTATAGTGCTGGGTGCACACACACATATACACAACCACATCACACCAACACATGCACTCTCTCTCACTCTGGTTTTGATTCTTTGCGGTTTCATCAATGTCCCTAGGTTCACTGTCTCTGTAGTATTCTGTCTTATACTGATTTTGTCTCCACTTTCTTGTCCTAAGAAATAATGTCCTGATGTTTCATTGTGCATCACTCAGAGGAGAGAGAATCTGATAACCCTAGAGGTTCATTTCCTCCTCTGGTTTGGTAGTTTAGGAGAGAGCTGGCTTAACAGAGAACAATCTGATAGAAAACACTGGATTCCAGAAGGTTCCTCTTTCAAATAAAGCCATTTCTCTGATCAAGGAGCATCTGGGATTACATAATGGCATAGATGTAAACTGCTCCAGCAGTCCCTATGTATGTGCAGTATCACAGGTCCAGGATTCCTCTCCATGACACGTCAGCCATGATACAGGCAGTCCTCCCCTGTCCAGCACAAGCCATGGTATGCTGAAGTTTTGAGGAGTTGTGTGCACCCTGCTACTTCTCTGCTTATAAATTCTTCCTCAATAAAACCTATTTTGTATTTTCATCGCCAGTGGCCCTTGCAGTGCATTTCCTGATTCCCCCTTGCACAGCTACTCCAATCCCTAGCTGGTGCCTCTTTACCTGGCTTGTGCTCACGAGGTCTTCCTCATAGTCAAGAGAGATGGTTTATAAGCCACATTATACAAGTTTCTCAGGTTAGTGCCAAGGCAAACATAAGCATTAATGTTCACCTTACACAATCATCTTGTTTCCAATACAGTTTTCTGATAACACCACTTGCAAGTGTATCATCAAGGCAAGTCCCATTCTTATAAGAACTTGGGGGATTGTGAGCCCAGAATGGATGAAGTAGGCAGTGCAGTTTTTGCCCTACCATAGCCATGTGCAGATTAAAAACATTTGGCTCTAGCTACTCAGATTTCTGCCCTAGTTCTCCTTTCCCAGTTGGCTTGCTCTCCTCTCCTAGGGCGAATGTATGTGTGTTGGGGGCAGGGTAGGATGATAGAATATACTAGTTGTGACTGTAATGTTATTTCAAATCATCAAAGCAGGTATTTAGAACAATCACCAGTTATTGCCTGCTGGATCTAAAATTGAATACTCACCAAGGAATATTGTAAATAACCAGGCAGAACAGAAGGTCACAACGTTATGGTTCATTCTCCTTTATGTAATAACCCCAATTAAAAACCATAATTAGAGATGTCAAGCATAAAAATAAAAAAAAAACAAGTAATAGTCTATTTTTTAAAAAGTTTAAATAAAGGTATCAGCAACTCACCAAATATTTTATATACTAAAGGGAATTTAAGAAAACAAAATCCCTTATTCTTTATACATTTCAATGAAATCTTACAGCAGCACATGTTCTGCACAATTTAGTCAGAGATCTCAGAGGATTCAGAAATATAATCATGGGAAGAGTGCTGTTTCAGAATGGAGTCTTGACAAGCAGTGAAAAGAAAATAAATGGATTACAACAAGCATACCAAAAAGGAAAAATAATGTTAGATAAATTTCCCCAAGAAACTAGTGATAAAGGGATAGATTTTCAACTGTTTTCTTTTTAATCTGCTTGTTTTTTATTTCCAAATAACATGTTCAGCTCAAAAATAAAAGATAAAATGAAATAGAATTATTTGCCAGTTTATTTCAGGAAAGCTTAGTATTTTAAAATAGCAATAACAAACGATACTATATTTCAGGGCTTAGAGTTGGTTTATTAAGAGGTTCAAGTTATAGGCAACTAAAAGCAGGGGTGGGGACAAAGGGCATGGTACATTAATAATACTTTGTAAATAGCAAGCTTTCCTAATGGGAAAATAATTTAATTAACATAAAAGTACTGAACAATTAGTGGTCCTTATCTGGCTTAGGACCCACCAACTCAATTATGGCCAGTAAGCCCATTAGTTGAGTTTAAATTTTAGAAACTTCAGAAACGGTTTAATTTTTCTCTTAAACCTTTGAGAAAAAGGACAGTCTGTTGTGTACAATCAGAATATACAATCACTAGCAGGAGCCTAATTGACTATATTCTGCAGAGTGGAATGTGATTGAACTTCAGTGTTTACTGAGTGTGAACACAAAGCAGCAGGTTAGGGAGGGCAGAGCCCCAGTCTGCATTTTCATTTCTGTATGGTACGGCTGAAATGTAGCATTGATGCCTACCAAACAGGGATGAATTCTCCAGCAAGGGGTGGAAAAATGTGGGGGGAGTCACAGTGGATGCTTTTTTTTTTTTTTTAAACTTTGAGAGGTGAAGATTTGGAAGACAGGTATGACTACCTCAAAAAATTCTCCACTAACACAAGCCACTATGATTTCCCTGCAGCTTGTTTGAGAGCCATACTGAAGGCCCTCACAATCTCTGTTGTAACCCTGGTGTAGAAATCACTGGTTGGATGGCAGGAGCCAATGGAGAGAGTGTTGGGGTTTGTGTGCACAAGGGTAGATAAAGTGTATCTAAAACCTTCTATTGAAGAAAAATGGCGTTAGTGTCACCACTCTATAATATCAGGGAACCTTGTCAGCTGTGCTGAAGATTTTGGTTGTCCCAAAAGCATCGGTAGCCACTGAAAGGTTTATGTGATGTGACTCCATCTCGTTGATGATTTATTGGGTGTGAAAATAAGTACTTTAACACATTTAAGTCTGCCTGCAGATGTGCCATTGGAATTCTGCCATGCTTCATGGAGGGCCGAGAAGCCCAGGCTGCCATCCCTTTAGGCAACATAACATGTGCTGCTTGTGGAAGATAACACGCCCACAATAGATGTTAGCAAATACATCCGTGCTCCAGAAATGGAACCTGAGGAACAAAGCCTATCTGGGTGTCATTGCCATGCATGATTAAGAAAATCAGACACAGCCATGATAATGGCCACCAAAGCACTTCAGAAGCCTATCCACATCAAGAACACATGACAGGCAAGATTGCAGAGCAGGTGGGACTCCCACAGGGACAATGCTGGCCTCACTTTGAGCACTCCACCACCCTGACACCTTTATGGTGACACAACACAACATGTACAGGATCTTCCCAGCCCCTCTTCAAATCCACTCCACCATTGGCCCATGGTCTGGAAATGGGGCCATTTTTCATAAAAATTGAAAACTGCTTTTCTGAAAAATGGAAGAATCAGAAGAGTAAAATTCTTAAATCATAGGGTTTCATCTTTCAAATTCAAGCTAATTAACAGCAATCCTGTAACAAAGTTGCTTTTCTACTTGTCATGATTTTCTAACACAGTTCATAAGGATTGTTTGGATTACAGACAATAGGTACTGTTTTTATATTAGCTTGGCTAATATATATTTTCCTGATCATATTTTCCCTTATATTGATTATGTAAAATTCGTGTCTTTCACGGTTTTAAAAATTAACAGCAATGACAATTGTCTTTTCCAAAAATCTCTTAAATATGCGACACTGTATCTTAAAAATATTATCAAAGACCAAGGTAGCAGTTTGAGCACAGTTGCCCAGTAGTGACAAAGTATCTGTTTTCGAGACAGAGTCTCCCTCTGTCACCCAGGCTGGAGTGCAGTGGTGCAATCTCAGCTCACTGCAAGCTCCACCTCCCAGGTTTAAGTGATTCTCGTGCCTCAGCCTACCGAGTACCTGGGATTACAGGTGTGCACCACCACGCCTGGCTAATTTTTGTATTTTTAGTAGAGATGGGGTTTCACCATGTTGGCCAGGCTGCTCTCAAACTCCTGACCTCAAGTGAACCACCTGCCTTGGCCTCTCAAAGTGCTGGGATTACAGGCATGAGCCACAAGTGTCCAGCCCTAAATCCTCTTTTCAACCATACTCCAACCATGGCTCTGTCCTTGGCTCCCTTAGTCTAGTTTTAGCAAGAATCAGGCCAGGTCATTTTAGCAAAAATTCTCCACTCTTGACATGTGATCAAATTTCTCATGCCCCATCCTTGATATCTGATCACCCTGGCCTGCCTTCATCAAGAATCCTGTCAAGTTGGGTTAGCTAGAATCCTCCCTCACCCCTGAAGTTTCCTGTTAGTAATTTTCCATCCACTGACCCCCACCCTGTTCCTTGACTATAATTCCTCACTTGCCCTTGCATTTGGAGTGGGATTCATCTGTCTCCCCTACTGCAAAACCCCCATTATAGTAGTCTCCTTTGAATAAAGTCTTTCCTACTCCCTTTAACAAGAGGCATTTTTTTAAATACTAGGACTCTTCAAAATTCATGCTGAAATGGCCAGAAAAAAGTGCTTAGAGAGAAAAATTTTCACCCTTGCTGCAAATCAGGAGTAGCTTCACATATAAACTAGAAATTTGGATGAATTTCAATTAGACGCAGTTCCTGTGGTGTAAACTGGCAAAAGAGAATGACCCCCATTAGTAGAAGTAGGTGCTGTTGTATACCACCAATGCCAATACTTGCAACAGCAAGTGTTGGAGCTAGGGTGAGCTCAAAGGGAATGAAAAAGGTAATGGAGAAGCCTAGCCCTTTGGCTTCCTCTGGCCTCTATGGTAATATGAGCCCGCCAATCAGAGAAACAGGCATGACAGGACCTTTCTTTGGAAATACTACCTGTGTGAATGGCCTTGTGAAAGCCTCCCGGCTACGGCTGTTATTTAGCAGTCTCCCAAATCCCCCAAACTGCTAGACCAACAGATGGGCAGCTCATGCTTTTTTCCTTTCTCTAGATTCTGGATCTGGAAGTCTTTCTATAAAAAAAAATTGGTAGAGAAACACACCTATGTTTAGAACCCATCCTAATCCTACTTTTTAAAAAGTCAGTAAAAGTACAGCCACTTTGGAAAACAGTTTGGTAGGTTTTTATAAAGTTAAACAGGCTGGGCATGGTGGCTCATGCCTGTAATCCCGGCACTTTGGGAGGCCGAGACGGGCAGATCACGAGGTCAGGAGATCGAGACCATCCTGGCTAACACGGTGAAACTCTGTCTCTACTAAAAAAAAAAAAAAAAAAATTAGCCAGACATGGCAGCGGCCATCTGTAATCCCAGCAACTCAGGAGGCTGAGGCAGGAGAATGGCGTCAACCCGGGAGGCAGAGCTTGCAGTGAGCCGAGATCGCGCCACTGCAGTTCGGTCCAGCCTGGGTGAAAGAGCAAGACTCTCTGAAAAAAAAAAAAGTTAAACATACACTTTTCACATGACCCAGCCATCCCACTAGACCCATGTATTCATCTCCATGACTACTGTTCCAAATTACTACAAATTCAGTAGCTTAAAACAACCCAAATGTATTATCATACAGTTCTGTAAATCACATGTTCAAGCACAGCTCTCACTGGGCTAAAATCAAGGTGTTAGTGTGCTGAATTTCTTTCTGGGATTTCTAGGGGAAAATTCATTTTCTTCACTTTTTTAGCTTCCAGAGAATGCCTGTATTCCTTGTCCCTTCTATCTTCATTTCAAAGCTAGCAATGGTGGGTCAAGTCCTTCTCAAGGAGCCATCTCTCTGTCTCTCTACAGTAGCCCGGGAAGGCCCTCTACTTAAAAAAAAAAATTAAATTTTAAGTTCAGTGATACATGTACAGAATGTGCAGGTTTGTAACATAGGTTAACCTGTGCCGGGGGGGTTGTTGTACAGATTATTTTTCATCACTGAGATATTAAGCCTAATGTCCATTCATTATTTTTCCTGATCCTCTCCCTCCTTCCACCCACCACCCTCCGATAGGCCCCAGTGTGTGTTGTTCCCTTCTTTGTGCCCATGTGTTCTCACCATTGAGCTCCCACTTGGAAGTGAAAACATGCACTATTTGGTTTTCTGTTTCTGTGTTAGTTTGCTAAGGATAATAGGCCCTCCACTTTAAATAATTTATGTGATTAGATTGACCCAGCTGGAATACAGGACAGATTCCTCACTTTAAGGTCAGTTTATTAGCAACCTTGATTACATCAGTATTAATTCCATTTTGCCATACTGTGTAACATATCCACAGTTTCCCAGATTAAGGAATGGGTATCTTTGGGGGGTCCAATGTTCTGCTACCACAACCTAAGAGAAATGAAAATAAATGTCCACACAAATAGTCATATTCAAATGTTCATGGCAGCTTTATTCATAGTAGCCAATAACTGGAACCAATCTAAATGTCTACCAACTGGTGAATGAATAAACAAATTGTGGTATACTCATACAATAGAATACTACTCAGCAATGAAAAGGAATAAACTACTCATACACACAACCACATGAATAAATCTCAAATGAATTACGCTGAGTGAAGGAAAACAGACACAAACAGCTATAAACTATTATTACATTCATATGAATTTCTAGGAAAAGCAAAACCATAGTGACAAGAAGCAGATCATAAGTTGTTAGGGGAGAGAGAGGGAACTTACTGCAGAAGGATGAAGAGAACTTTATGGAATGATGAGGATGTTCTATATCACAAGTGTGGTGGTGATTAACACAATTGCTTACATTTGTAAAAACTCATCAAGCCGGCTGGGCGTGGTGGCTCATGCCTGTAATCCTATCACTTTGGGAGGCCGAGGTGGGTGGATCACAAGGTCAGGAAATCAAATCTTCTTCCAACACATGGCTGGACTGGAGTCTCCGTGAATCTGCTGTGATTCTGGAGGCTTTCCGATCCACCAATTGTTCATTGCTCAATTAAACTCTTTTAAATTTAATTCAGCTGAAGTTTTCCTTTTATCACCACAGATAATACCCCGTGAATGTCTTGAGCAGAAAAACATACATATGTATGCAAGACCTTTTTGGGCAGTATTGAGAACTGTATACTTGGCCTACAAGATGGCATGACAAATTTTATGTATCCATTTGAAATAATTAGTTTGGAGACTGGAAAGAAAAGTAGAAAGGGACATAGAGTTTCATCATGGTTTTCAACAAGGAATGATTTTGCCCTTCAGGGGACATCTGGCAATATCTGAAGACATATTTGATTGTCACAACTGTATTAGATGGGGTACAACAAGTTTGTACAGGGTAGATCCAGTGATGCTGCTAAGCCTCCTACCGTACACACGACAGCTCCCTGCAAGGTATTATCCAGCCCAAAGTGTCTACAGTGCTGAGTTTCAGAAATTCCAAGTTAGACAACACTAAAGTTTTATGTAATTATATCCGGAAATCAAAAATATTGGGGGAATTTTTTATTTGTTGGATATATAATATTAGTGACTCTGCTGTGAGATCACTAGCAGGTAATTGGGTAATCCTGCCAACATTTATATACTACTTCCAATGACCACACTTTACAAGATTTTGAAGGACTCAAATGTCTACACTAACATCAGATTAAAACCTGGAAAGATTGCTTAGCTCAGTGCCCTGCATGCTGCCTGGAAATAAGATAATTGGATATACAAACAGGAACGGTAAGAAGGAAGATCTGTCTGATTTGTCTCAGATGTGATATTTATCCTACAATTACAGATTAAGAGGTGAAGAGGAGGAGAAAGAACCCATCATTGTCTAGGGACATTTTCCAAATAGTATTTATAGTTCCCTGCAAGTAACCTTTTGCTTGGTAGATAATAAACTTTGTGCAGCATGCTGAATCTGTCATTAAACATTTGCCTGAAGATCTGAGTGTTAATATCAGTGACAGGGTTTCCTAAACATGTCACATTTCCTCTGCCTGTCACGAAGAATTATAGCTTCTGTGACCCTCACTATAATAGCAGCTATTTGTGATATTTTAACCTAATGTACAGCCTCAGAAGAAGAACAACAGGAACAATAAAACATCTGCCAGGAACTCGCTTGAAGGAAGGAATTCTAAGTGTTAAGAGGATTCCAAATAAAAGAGCAAAACCTTGGGTGTCGAATACTACAGGATCTGAGTTCATTAACTTCCCTGTAATTTATGTCTTGATTATTTCCACATCCCAAAGGGAGAAATTGTAATTCACCTATGTTGGCTTTTTTTGGTAAAATTGTAGGCAAAGCCAGAAAATGTAGAGCTTAATTTTGTTTTTCTACCTTTATAGGCTGGGGCAGGAGAGAGGGCATACTATAATCAAACACAAAGGATTCTCTTTAATGAGAGTTTTATTCTTCTGTATAGATTCTTGCCATGGCTTGATTTTTGTTTTGTGGCAGGAACAGAGGGTGGCAGGGGAATTGGTTGTTTTCCTTTTTAATGAGAAACCCAGAGTCAAAACTATCGTCAGGATTTCTCCTTTCTTCCCCTCCAGCCTATCAGAGTCGAATGCTCACAACAGGCTCAGGAGCAATGAGCACCAGCTTTGTAAAGACCAAATCGACTAAACAAAATAAACCGTGTCATTTCATGCTAATTCAAAGACTCATTCCAACTGCTGTGTGATGAGGAAGCCAAGAACTGAACTGTAACCCAAACACAAACATGTTGCATTGCCAGGAAATGGCTAATGCGGCCTCCCATTACACAGAGCTTTCAAAATGTTTTAAGCGTTGATGAATACATCATTTTGGAAAGAGTTCAAACATATGCAGCATTAAGTCTACAAATATATCTTTCTTACAAAAATAATCCCACTTGCCTTTGAATGTGAATGGGGAAATGGAGCATTGGAGTCGAGGCCTGGAACTAGTGCTTCATCGTAATTTGCTCATCCATTGGACTGCCCCTAGTTGCTGTAGCCTCATCAGAGCATCTCCCCCTCCATCTATCTCCCTCTCAGAAAAGCAGCACAGCTACTCTAGAGTCTTACCTTCAAGAATGAGAGCTACATTGCAAATCTCTTTAGAGTGCTCTGCGCTGTCATAAGCTTCAGTGGTAAAGACCCGAGTGTTTTAAAAGTCATTTTTGAAGAGAAAGAAAGGTGATTCCCTCCTCCCATAGAAGGGATACGATGAAGACTGAAAATCCCCTTCGTGCCCATTTGTGGGACTGTACAGCAAAATCCGGATAGACTATGAAACATAGTTAGGCTCCAGGTACTAACCATTTGCAAAAATAAAGCTGCCCTTAAAAATGGAATTGGTCATACGTGAATCAGCTTAACAAAAATATTCCCTCACCGGGGCCCAAACACTTATCAATACCAGCCCGGTTCGTTTGAGCTGAACTCTTGACTTATGTTAGTCTCGACCTAGACAATGAGATCTATTCTCAAAACTCCAATACATCCAGGAAGGCCTTCTTCCTAAAGGGCTCTAACTGGGTACTGTCAAAGCAGTGGGAAGACCGCAGCCAGGGCCCTCTGCTGGAACTGAGTTAGCCATGCAAGTTAAGGGCTGCTCCTGCAGTGGAGGGGTGAGAGTTTCCAGGGATGTCTATGCCAGCTATTTACCTGTTTTTTCTCAGCTCTAAGTTCATGCTTCTACCCTTTGCTCTATGAAGCCCAGGCCAGAGCTCTGCCTACTGGCTTCCTATTAAGCCCAGATGATGTAAGGAGCAAAAATGAAACCAGAAGGCAGGAGGAGATAAAAAGGACTTCTTTCCTATTATTCCAACATGTTCCTGTCAGAGTCACTCGAGCAGGGGCTGTGGGTCTAGCATCAGCATGTGACTACAGCCAGCTTCTCAGCCACTCTCAGACCAGCCTTGGCAGCCTGGGTCCGGCGGCTCATCAGAAACCTGAATACCCACTGGATGGGGCTTGCATTCCCAGCTCCTAATTTGGGGCGATTCCTTTAGTTTTCCTCAGTTCCAAGGGTGGTAGCTATTTTTTATTATTATCTCAGTTTTGCCTTTATGCTCTTTGAGCCCACTAACAGCTGTGTAATGTATTTTCTATATGAAATCCTGACTGTCGGCAATTCCTCGTACCACATAAGGTGCTCCACTTTCCAGGCTGGATCCTGACAGTAAAGCATGGTGGAAGGTGATGGTTTAGAGGAGGGAACGGTGGGGTGTTGAGAAAGTAAAGGAAACCTGGGTCTGTAGAGAGGTCTGAATCTTCCATTTGATGATCAACTAGAGGTGAGGATTAGACCTGCAGTGTCCAATTGGGCAGCCTTTAAAACATGGCTAGCCTGAGCAAAAGACTGAATGTAAATTATTTGTCGATAATCGTTTTGGTTATTGAAAAACTTTTTAGTGTGTTTGGAACAACGTAAGTAAGTGAATCTACTTTTTTAACTGTAAGTTTTATGAAATCTACGTAGATAGCAATTATCTCTGATGAAATGTTACCATACAAAAAGATAGGCTATGAATAAAAAAGAATGTAAACACCTCAATTTTTTACAAGAATTTTATGTTGAAATGATACCATTCTGAATATAGCATGTTGAATTAAAGGTATTACTGAAGTTAATTTCACCTTTTTTAACTTTTTGAAAGTGGCTACTAAAAATTTTAAAGTTGCATCTATGGTTTGCATCATACTTCTACTGGAAAGCACAGCTCTAGGTTCTTATTTCTCATACCCGCAATGTTCATGTTTTTCATCTAAACACATTGTATTTGTTACTGTTCATTTGTTAGCATATAACAAAAGCCAACTCTGGATAGCTTAATAAAAACAAATTGCAAGATACACAGACAACAACAGCAAGCAGAGTTGAAACTTGAATTAAGAACAGTCCTATAAGAAAGCCTGAAGCACACGGCACTAGGCTGAGTTTGGTACCAAAGGACTCAACCTCTACATACTTTCTAACTTCCCAACACGTTATTGTTTGGCCAGATGGCAAGCCAAATAACAGAAACACATAAATAGCAGAAACCAGATAAATGACTATCCCTCTATATTCAGCCTAACAATTGCAGATAATTAGCTTATGATGTCTGAATCATTCAATATGCTTTCAAATTTCACAACAAAGCCATCCAAATGATTACAACTCATTTGTTATAAGTCAAGGTTCGCCAGTAAAATGGGAGTGAGGATTCTGGGTTTGAGGTTGTGAGGAAAGAAATATAGAAAGATAGCATCAGCAATTATACCATACCCTTAAATCATATGTTTCTACATATTTCCACAAGACAGGCTTCCTATTAAGGTTGTCTATTTTCTAATTCTAAGAAAACTAGTTTTATACAGAAGTTTTCTATGTTATAGCCAATATGTCTCCATTACAATTCTTTAATTTCTGTAACAACATAAAGACCAATCAAGTAATATGCAAATTCTTATTAAATGTCTACTATGAAACAAAGCACTGGAGGAGGGGATATGGGCATTGAGGAGACAACAATGTGTTCTTGGCAAGAAACTTGCAAACAAGAGAAAGAGAAAATACAGAATACTACAACTTTGGCTTTGGAAGGGACTTTGGAGGTCACCTAATACAATCTTCTAGTCTGTGGATAATTCAACCCCTGCAACTCTCCCCAGGAGTGTTCAGCTTCTGCTTAAAGCTGCTTAAACAGGGAAACAGAATTCACTGCCTTAGAAGCCTGTCTATTCCATTTTTGTACTGCTTTTATTTTTAGCCAGATCTTTGTGCAAAATCAAAAAATGCACCATTACAATTTCTACTCACTGGTCCTTTTTCTTTCTTTACGAACAATAGCCCTTCAAGTATTTAAAGTCCCTATCATATCCCCTGTCCTTTTTTTATGGACGGCATTGCCATAGGATGCTTTGTGATGGGAAAAAAAAAAGAGTATTCCATGGTGAAATAAACTTAGAAAAATAGAGTATATTCTAATCCTGTTTTGAAAATACACTTTTTGTTCCTTGAAACTATGAGCATTCTAGCAGTAAGAAAACCCATCTACCTGCACTACAGCAAGCACTTTCCAAACCCATTTGACCACAAAAATCTTATTTCTCCCAATTTCACCTTAACATCACACAGAATTACAGTGCAATAGAAAATTTAGCACTTCATTTTTCATTCAACAAATACTCATTAAGCACCTACATCGCACCAGGCTTTGTGATATGTGCTGGGATCACTACAGTAGATAAAAATGATTTTTGACTTCCCAGAGCATAAAGTCTAGTATGAAAGATGAACAATTAAATGAGCAATAATATAAAAAGTTAACATAGAAATTGCTGGGGAAGTGCAATTTTATGGGAACACACTTTGGGCACTGCTGCTGTGGGCTGAACAGCCTCAGATTTTCCCTTGGTTCTTTGGACAGCATGGTTTCCAGACTCTGCCCTTCTGGTCATTGCCGTTTCCCTACTCTGGTTTGTCGACATCCGTCAGAAAGAGGACCCAAACTAAACCCAATACTCCAGGAATGATTTGACCAGGAGCACCTCAGACAAGCACTGGATGAGGGGATTTGGGTGTTTGTTTAGGACATCGAACTTTTCTTGATGGAGCCTGCTGTACAAATATAGAATGCTAAAAATAGGCCAGGCACGGTGGCTCACACCTGTAATCCCAGCACTTTGGGAGGCAGAGGAGGGTGGATCACTTGAGGCCAGGAGTTCAAGACCAGCCTGGCTGACATGGCAAAACCCCATCTCTACTAAAAATACAAAAATTAGTTGGGCGTGGTGGTGATGCCTGTAATTCCAGCTACTCTAGAGTCTGAGGCATGAGAATCACTTGAATCCAAAAGGTGGGGGTTGCAGTGAGCCGAGATTGTGTGACTGCACTCCAGCCTGGGTGACAGAGTGAGATTCTGTCTCCAAATTTTTTTAAAAAATGTTAAAAATAACAAAACAATAGCTTATTACAATAAAATGAGATATTCCAAAAAAGTTTATTAATGATAGACCAAAGAAAGCTAATTTCCATTGTGAGAGACTAGAAAAGGCTTCAAGAAATATTTGAGTTGAATCTTGATAAGAAAGTAGAATTTGGATAGGAAATTCCTTCAGAATGTTCACAGAAACATAAAAACTAAATGAGATCTGGGAAACTCAAACTTGACTTGGGCCCCCATAAGCTGCTTAGAAACACTGAAAGCAAACTCACAGTTCAGAAGCAAATTTGTGGCATCTAATCATAGATTCCAAGCTTTACAATGAAAACAGACGGCATATTAGAGGATTTATGTTTAGGGTGGCATTGACTGACCTTTCAGATGTCCTCCAGAGATCAAAGAATCTGCCTCCTCTCACCTAGTGAAATCTAGCTGGGAGTAGAAACCGAGACTGCTCATGTTGACAGTGGCTCAGGATGGGAAAGGAACACTCAGAAGACAGTGGTACCAGCTTAACTAGGAGAATCTGTACTGCAAGGAGTAGGAGGTTTAACAAAGCTTAACGAAGTGACCCTCTTATATATTAAGATGGTATCATAACTAACGTGTCATTACTATTAATAAGTAAAAGCAGCCAGGCACAGTGGCTCACGCCTGTAATCTCAGCACTTTGAGAGGCCGAGGCCAAGGTAGGCAGATCACTTAAGGTCAGAAGTTCAAGGCCAGCCTGGCCAATATGGTGAAACCATCTCTACTAAGAAAAACTACAAAACTTAGCCAGGTGTGGTGGTGGGTGCCTGTAATCCCAGTTACTCAGGAGGCTGAGGTAGAAGAATTACTTCAGCCAGGGAGGCGGAGTTTGCAGTGAGCCAAGATCATGCCGCTGCACTCCAGCCTGGGTGACAGAACAAGACTTTGTCTCAAAAATTAAATTAAATTAAAAATAAGTAAAAGCAGCCCTGAGAGTCAAATGTGAAACAGGCTCAGACAGAAGAAGTCACAGAAAGACTTCCCCCATTGCCTACCTATCCCTATAGAACCCAGTACTGTGCTTGCTAAAATTGTCCCCAGAATTCGCAAAGGAAAGAGTAGACAATTCAATCTATTCTTCTTTTTGCCCTGATTAAACACTAGAGGCTATTCAAAGCAATAGCTGGGAAGCATTTTTTATTATTACCATTATCATTCCGGTTTTCATTCCTCCATGCCTCCCATCTCCCCCATTAGCATGGATAATTGAGAGCTGGCATTTAAATCAGTAATATTTAACACTAATAGCCCGACCCTATTGCTACCTGCTAACCTCACACCATCTAACTGCACCTGGTAACTTTGAAGGACACTAATGTCCTTAACATCATAATTGGCCACAACTTATTGGTTACACATGAGAAGCCCTACTCTGTTTACTTTTAATTTGAGTTCCAGAAATGATTCTATTCATCATCATCAATGGAGAATTCACAAGGGCAAACTAAAAACTATATACTCAACACCCTGATGAAACTGAAAAATTTCAACAATCATCTGCAGGGGGTTTCTATACCCAGTTAAGCCTTCTAAAGGGTGGGCATTTCTGAATAGCATTTTTCAGATTTAATTTGGTTGTTTGACCTCAACATTTATTTATATTTTCTTACTAATAATTTTAATTTGCTGTAAAAAGGACCAGTAGAAACCAGGTATATTTTACTTTCATCCATTTATTTTACCTGCTAGGTGGAAATATAGAAGGAAGGAGAGAAGGAAGGAAGGAAGGGAGGGAGGGAGGGAGGGAGGGAGGAAGGAAGGAAGGAAGGAAGGAAGGAAGGAAGGAAGGAAGGAAGGAAGGAAGGAAAGAAGGAAGGAAGGGAAGGAAGGGAAGGGAAGGAAGGGAGGGAAGGGAGGGAAGGGAGGGAGGGAGGGAGGGAGGGAATTGATGAAGTCTGATGAAACAGAGGCAGATGAAAGAGAAGAATGATGGAGGCAGGAGAGAAACAGAGCCTACGAGCAATGTTCAGAGAAAAGCATTTGTCATAGGTCTGACATATGCATGGAAAATACAGCAAAACCTGCATTAGTTTTCTTCTGTGTGTGTGTTCATTTAATTGATGAGCTTTTCTATTGAGCCTTTTTCTATGTATGAGTTGGCAATGTTAGAATATGAATGAATACAAAAGAATATAAGAGCTTTTGTCTTGCCCTTAGATAACTGAAAAGTGATGTGTTCGAAATTTCCATCCCTATCTGTCAGGCTAAATAATGGTCCCCCAACCCCCAAAGGCATCTAGATTCTAATCCCTGGGAGCTGTGAATGTTACCCTGTATGAAAAAGACCTTTGTGGATGTTATCAAATTAAGGATCCAGAGATGAGGTTATCCTGGATTAGCCAGGTAGGCCCTAAATACAATCACATGTGTTCTTACAAGAGGAAAGTAGAGTGAGTTTATTAGACTACAGACAGAAGGTGAGAAGAGCATGTGACCAGGAGGCAGCAATTAGAGTGATGTGACTGCAGGTGAAGGAATGCCACAGTCGCCAGAGGCTGGACGAAGCAAGGAATAGATTCTCCCCCAGAGCCTCCGGAGGTAGCATGGCCTTGCTAACACCTTGATTTCAGTCCAGTGAAACTGATTTTTATCTTCTGGCCTCTAGAACTGTAAGAGAATACATGTGTGGTGTTTTAGGCCACCAAATTTGTGGTAATTTCTTACAGCAGTAATAGGAAACTAATACACCCATATCTAAACAACAGCAAGAAGTAAGCACCCAGCAGCTTCAAAAACAATTCCAAGCTGCCAAGTATTCCTCAGCAAAGGGGTTCTCTCAGAGCCTTGAGCCATAGATCTCACAAGTTCCATATGCACCCATTGCAAGACCCAAAGGAATGCACAATTCACCCTGAGAAAAGAGTTAGTACAGGAAGCCCATCCGCAGTGGAAAATGATCAAGGTGAACTGAATATATAAATACTGAGATGACACAGAATATATTTTCAAAGTCTCTTTATGAGTCAGGAAAGATAAAATACCACCAAAATTTATGAAATAATGAAACTTTAAGAAAGGATAGAAAAATAAATGAAAAAAGAAATGTTCAACGAATGGAAGACATAGGAAGAAAAAACGTCAGTATAATTATGCCCAGGATAGGTACTGATCAATAATTCTAAAGAAATTTCCAGTTTCCTTGTGAAATCCTCCCTAAGGGTGAATCAGATTTTCTTTTTTATCTTCTTCACAATGCACCGAAATGTGTAAGTCAGTGATTGAGAGGTAGCTAATTAAAATGCACTGGGAAAAATCAAAAAGCTGTGCAGCTTGCCACTGGAGTTTTCAGTAGGAGTAAAGATGCCCAGATTTGAAACAAATCATTTTAGAGAAAAGAAGGGTTATTTTCTGCAATAAATCCCCATCAGGATGGATTTTCACTCGTTCCAGCCACGGTGATGGATGGTGCTCTCTGGGCTGGCTGTGTGGATTGGATTTGGATGGGCCACCAAAAGTGCAGATGCTTATCTGAAACTTATCTGAACAAGCCAAATCTCAGAGGTCTGCAAAATTATGCTGGCATTCCTTCAAGATTAGTCTCTCTTGTGAGATGGCTGGCCTTGGGGACTTGGCTCTATGTCCAGTGAGGATGGATTTTTTTTCTTCACATTTTTTTGGCATTCCTGGTGCAGGAAAAATAAAGCATGTGTGCACACTGACATACATAATCAAGCAGAGTGAAAACTACATTACTAAGATGTTTAAACTACCTACATGTGCTTCCTGAGAGCCTACTGTGTGCCTTATGGTTCCTGCTCAAAAACAGTTTAGAATAAAGTTAAGGAAGCAAAGTCATTTATAAATTCTTATAACATTTATAATATTTACAAATATCAAAAGAAACTCCTCAATTACAAGTGGTCAAAAAAATGGAATAATCAGTATAGGTCATCTGAGAAGTATAAAGGGCATCTAAGAATAGCAATTGTGCAACTTAAACTGGACCATAATTAGAGTAAGATTTGGTACTCCAGGTAAAGACCCACTTGTGGTAAAAAGAATAACTATTATTTGATGAATGCCTACAGTATGCTAGGCAGTGTTTGAAAATACACATTATTTCATTTAATTATTTCAACAACACAGTATAGGTAAGAATCTTTACCCTCATCTTACCCATGAGAAGAGTCAAGATATGGAAAAATTCAGTTTCCCAAACTCACTTAACCAATACACAGCAGAATCGGAATTTAAAGCTAAGATTCAAAAAAAAAAAAAAAAAAAAAAAACCTCTTGATCAATATTCTCTCCAGGTGTTTTACTTTATTGATGTTTGTCAAGATGGAAAATCATGGTAGGTAGTTATTTCTGATAAACAAATCTGATGTAGTGTAGTGTAGACTAGAAAGATATAGAAAAAGGAGACTAGTTTTTTTCTTTTCTTTTTTCTTATGGCATAACAGTCACGATCTTCATTCAAGAAGGAGGATGTCTGGAAAAGAATCTTTTCTTACATGTATGTTTTTCTTGCTAAGTAAATAAAATTTTTCCTTCCTGAGGACATAAAGTAAGAAAGTCCAGTTTTAGCATGGAGCTTGCTGCATTTGCTCCATTTGTTGTATAATTGTTTAAAGGACATTCTTTGAGTATCTCCAATATGCTACGAGTTGAAGGTCAATTTTGTAGTATTAAGTTCCTTTGCATTTGTGTTCATTTCTATTGCTGCTATAACAGACTACTAGAAACTTAATGGCTTAAGACAATACAACTGTATTATCTCACGGTATCTGTAGGTCAGAAGTCCAGGTTGGCTAAGCTGCATTCTGTTCAAAGTATCACAAGGTCTAAATCAAAATTAGCAGGCACTAATTTCCTTCTGGAGGCTCTGGGACTGGATCAGCTTCCAGGATCATTCAGACTGTTGGCAAAACTCAGTTCCATGCTGCTACAGAACTAAGGTCCCATTTCCTTACTGGTTGATGGTAGGGATGGGTGCAATTCTTTCTCAGCTCCTAGAGATTGCCCACATTTCTTGAGTCATGGCACTGGCTCTCTATCTTCAAATATTGAATCCTTCTCACACTTCTAATCTCCCTGACATCCCCTTTTCCTTTTCCACATCACTCCTCTGCTACTTCCTCTTCCACCACATCTCTCTGACTTGACACTTCTACTTTCCTCCCTCTTCTACTTCTCAATGCTCTTGTGATTAACATTGGACCCACTCACATACTCCAGGTAATCTCCCTATTTTAAGGTCAGCTGATAAGTAACCCTAATTCCATCTGCAAAGTCCCTTTCCTGCAGTATGTAAGTTAGTGTTTGATTGAATAACGGGGTAGGAATCTTGGGGATACTGCTTTGGAATTCTACCACAGCATTTATTTGCTTATAGGAAATATTTTGTTTTATTAATAATAACAAATTAAATGTACTCAGTGCCACTGTGTGGTTTACATTTTTCCCTTCTACACAGTCCCACTGTCCTGGCCTCAGGAAGATTAAAGTCCTTCTATAAATATAGAGCATGAGTTTTCAGAAGATGGGAAATGTGCAAAAACAGTTACAATCAAGCAATTTTTTCAAGCAGGTAATTTAGAAAAAATACAACTTTAAAAACCAGCTTCTACATTAATTTTCATGATATTTCTTTTTGGAAGTCTTTATTTTTAATAATTTCAACTTGTCTTTTAGCTTTAGGGGGTATAAGTGCAGGTTTGTTACATGGATATATTGCCTGATGTTGAGATTTGGGATACAATAGATCCGATCACCCACATAGTGAGCACAGTACTCAATAGGTTTTCAAACCTTGCCCCCCTACCTCCTCTAGTATTCCCCATGTCTATCACTGCCATCTTCATGTTCATGTGTACCCAGTGTTTAGCTCCTACTTATAAGTGAGAACATACGGTATTTAGTGTTTTGTTCCTGTATTGATTCGCTTAGGATAATGGCCCCCAGCTCCACCATATTACTGCAAAGGATGTGATTTCATTCTTCTCTATGGCCACGTAGTATTTTATGGTGTATTTGTACCACACTTTCCTTATCAATCCACGACTGATGGGCACCTAGGTTAATTCCATGTCTTTGCTATTATGAATTGAGTGGCAACAAACATATAAGTGCATGTGGCTTTTTTTGTATAATGTTCTATTTTCCTTTGGGTATATATCCAGTAATGGGAATGCTGGGTTGAATGGTAGTTCTGTTTTAAATTATTTGAGAAATCTCCAAACTGCTTTCCACATTGACTGAATTAATTTACATTCTCAACAACAGTATATATGTGGGGTTTTTTTCCTCCACAGTCTCACCAGCATCTGTTGTTTTTTTGACTTTTTAATAACAGCCATTCTGACTGGTGTGAGATGGTGTCTCATTGTGATTTTGATTTGAATCAAATTTTGATTTTGATTTGAATCTCTATGAATATGTTAAGCACTTTTTTTATGTTTGTTGGCCACTTGTATGTTCTTTTGAGAAATATCTGTTTAGGTCTTTTGCCCACTTGTTAATTGGATTGTTCGTTTTTTGCTTGTTTAATTATTTAACTTCCTTATACATTGTGGATATTAGACCTTTGTTGGATGAATAGTTTGTGAATATTTTCTCCCATTCTGTAGGTCATCTGTCTACTCTGTTAATAGTTTATTTTGCTGTGCAGAAGCACAGTTGTCAAGCACACTTGTCAATTTTTGTTTTTTTTTTTTTTTTTTTTGCAATTTCTTTTGAGGACATAGGCATAAATTCTTTCCCAAGGCAGATGTCCAAAATGGTGCTTCCTAGGTTTTCTTCTAGGATTCTTATAGTTTGAGGTTTCATATTTAAGTCTTTAATTCAGCTTATGTTAATTTTTGTATATGACGCAGTTTCGTTCTTCTGCATATGGCTCACCAGCTATCCCAGCACCATTTATTGAACGGGAGGTCATTTTCCTGTTATTTTTACTGACTTTTTTGAAGATCAAATTGCTGTAGGTGTGAAGCTTCATTTCTGGGCTCTCTATTCTGTTTCATAGGTCTCTGTGTCTGTATTTGTACCAGTACCATGCTGGTTTGCTTACTGTAGCCTTATCAAATAGTTTGAAGTTGGGTAATGTGATACCTCTGACTTTGTTCTTGTTGCTTAGGTTTGCTTTGGCTATTCAGGCTGTTCTACTTGATTCATATGAATTTTAAAAGTTTTTTTCTAATTCTGTGAAAAAAATGACGTTTAGTTTGATAGGAATAGCGGTGAACCTGTAGATTGCTTTGGGCAGTATGGCTATTTTAATGATATTGATTCTTCCAATCCATGGGCATGGAATGTTTTTCCATTTGTTTGTGCCATCTATGATTTCTTTAAGCAGTGTTTTATAAATCTCCATGTAAAGATATTTCACATCCTTGATTAGATGTATTCTTAGGTTTTATTTTTTATGGCTATTGTAAGTGGAATTGTTTCTTGATTTGGCTGTCAGCTTGAATGTTATTGGTGTATAGAAATGCTGCTGTTTTTTCACCTCTACACAAATAAACTAGAAAATCTATAAGAAATTGATAAATTCCTGGATTCATACACCCTCCCAAGACTAAACCAGGAAGAAGTCGAATCCCTGAATATACCAATAACAAGTTCTGAAATTGAGGCAGTAATTAATATCCTAGCAGATAAAAAAAAGCCCAGGACAAGACAGATTCACAGCCGAATTCTACCAGAGGTTCAAAGAGGAGATGGTACCATTCCTTCTGAAACTATTCCAAATAATAGAAAAGAGAGACTCCTCCCTAACTCATTTTATGAGGCCATCATCATCCTGATTCCAAAACCTGGCAGAAACACAACAAAATAAGAAAATTTCAGGCCAATATCCCTGATGAACATCGATGCAAAAATCCTCAATAAAATACTGGCAAACGAAATCCAGCAGCACATCAAAAAGCTTATCCACCATGATCAAGTCGGCTTCATCTCTGGGATATAAGGCTGGTTCAACATATGCAAATCAGTAAACGTAATCCATCACATAAACAGAACCAATGACAAAAACCACATGATTATCTCAATAGATGCAGAAAAAGCCTTTGTTAAAATTCAACACCCGTTCATGCTAAAAACACTCAATAAACTAGGTATCGATGGAACATATCTCAAAATAAGAAGTGCTATTTATGACAAACCCATAGCAAATATCATGCTGAATGGGCAAAAGCTGGAAGAATTCCCTTAGAAAACTGGCATAAGACAAGATGCCCTCTCTCACCACTCCTATTCAACATAGTACTGGAAGTTCTGACTAGGGCAATCAGGCAAGAGAATGAGATAGAGTGTATTCAAACAGAAAGAGAGGGAATCAAATTATTTCTGTTTGGAGATGATGTGACTGTATATTTAGAAAACCCCATCGTCAGCCCCAAAACTCCTTAAGCTGATAAGCAACCTCAGGAAAGTCTCAGAATACAAAATCGATGTGCAAAAATCACAAGCATTCCTATACACCAATAATAGACAAGCACAGAGCCAAATCATGTGTGAACTCCCATTCACAATTGCCACAAAGATAATAAAATACTAAGGAATACAACTTACAAAGGACGTGAAGGACCTCTTCAAGGAGAACTACAAACCACTGCTCAAGGAAATAAGAGAGGACACAAACAAATGGAAAAAAAATTCCATGCTCATGGATAGGGAGAATCAATATTGTGAAAATGGTCATACTGCCTAAAGTAATTTATAGATTCAATGCTATTCCCATCAAGTTACCACTAACTTTCTTCACAGAACTAGAAAAAAACTACATTAAATTTCATATGGAACCAAAAAAGAGCCCATATAGCCAAGACAATCCTAAGTAAATAGAACAAAGCTGGAGGCATCATGCTACCTGACTTCAAACTATACTACAAGGCTACAGTAACCAAAACAGCATGGTACTGGTACCAAAACAGATATATAGACCAAGGGAACAGAACAGAGGCCTCAGAAATAACACCCCACATTTACAACCATCTGATCTTCAACAAACCTGACAAAAACAAGCAATGGAGAAAGGATTTCCTATTTAATAAACGGTGTTGGGAAAACTGGCTAGCCATATGCAGAACACAGAAACTGGACCCCTTCCTTACACCCTATACAAAAATTAACTCAAGATGGATTAAAGACTTAAAATATAAAACCTAAAACTATAAAAACCCTAGAAGAAAACCTCAGCACTACCATTCAAGACATAGGTATGGGCAAAGACATCATAACTAAAATATCAAAAGCAATTGCAACAAAAGCCAAAATGGGGAAATGGGATCTAATTAAACTAAAGAGCTTCTGCACAGCAAAAGAAACTATAATCAGAGTGAACAGGCAACCTACAGAATGGGAGAAAATTTTTGCAATTTATCCATCTGACAAAGAGCTAATATCCAGAATCTACAAGAAACTTAAACAAAATTACAAGAAAAATCAAACAACCCCATCAAAAAGTCGGCAAAGGATGTGAACAGACACTTCTCAAAAGAAGACATTTATGCAGCCAACAAACATATGAAAAAAAAGCTCGTCATCACTGGTCATTAGAGAAATGTGAATCAACACCACAATGAGATACCATCTCACACCAACTTAGAATGGTGATCATTAAAAAGTCAGGAAATAACAGATGCTGGCAAAGATGTGGAGAAATAGGAATGCCTTTACACTGTTAGTGAGAGTGTAAATTAGTTCAACCATTGTGGAAGACAGTGTGGCGATTCCTCAAGGGTCTAGAACCAGAAATATCATTTGACCCAGCAATTTCATTGCTGGGTATATACCCAAAGGAATATGAATCATTTGACTATTAAGACACATGCACACGTATGTTTATTGCAGCACTATTCACAATAGCAAAGACTTGGAACCAACCCAAATGCCCATTAATGATAGACTGGATAAAGAAAATGTGGCACATATACACCATGGAATACTAAACAGCCATAAAAAGGAACGAGTTCATGTCCTTTGCAGGGACATGGATGAAGTTGGAAACCATCATTCTCAGAAAACTAACACAGGAACAAAAAAACAAACACCGCTTGTTCTCACTGATAAGTGGGAGTTGAACAATGAGAACACATGGACACAGGGAGGGAAACATCACACACTGGGGCCCATCAGGGTGTAGGGGGCAAGGAGAGGGAGAGCATTAGGACAAACACCTAATGCATGCAGGGCTTAAAACCTAGATGACGGGTTGACAGGTGCAGCAAACCGCCATGGCACACATATACCTATGTAAAAGACCTACACATTCTGCACATGTATCCCAGAACTTAAAGTAAAATAAAAATAAAAATAAAATACTTCTGCTTTTTGTACATTGATTTTGTATCCTGAAACTTTACTGAAGTCATTTATCAGCTCCAGGAGACTTTCAGAGGAAACTTCAGGGTTTTCTAGGTATAGAATCATATCATCAGTGAAGAGAAATAGTCTGACTTCTCCATTTCCTATTTGGATGCTTTTCATTTCTTTCTCTTGATTGATTGCTCTGGCTAGGATTTCCAGTACTATGTTGAATATGGGTGGTGAAGGTGGGGATCCTTGTCTCATCCCAACTTTCAAGGGCAATGCTCCCAGCTTTTGCCCATTCAGTGTGATGTTGGCTGTCAGTTTGTCATAAATGGCTCTTATTATTTCGAGGTATGTTCCTTCAATGTCTACTTTGTTGAGAGTCTTTATCATGAAGTGATGTTGGATTTTATTGAATGCTTTTTCCATTTCTAGTCAGATGATCACATGGTTTTTGTTTTTAATTCTCTTTATGTGGTGAATCACATTTATTGATTTGCTTATGTTGAACCAACCTTGCATCACAGGAATGAAGCCCACTTGATTGTAGTAAATTAACTTTTTAATATACTGCTGGATTTGATTGGCTGGTATTTTGTTGAGGACTTTTGTGTCTATTTTCATCAGGGATATTGTCCTATAGTTTTCTTTTTTCACTGTATCTTTACCAGGGTTTGGTATCATGGTGATGCTGGCTTCAGAGGATGAGTTAGGGAGGAGTCTCTCCTTCTCCATTTTTTGGAATAGTTTCAGTAGAATTGGTACCAGCTCTTCTTTATACATCTGATAGAATTTGGCTGTGAATTCATCTGATTTGGGGCTTTTTTTGGTTGGTAAGTTTTTTATTACTGATTCAATTTTGGAACTCAATATTGGTCTATTCAAGGCTTTAATTTCTTCCTGTTTCAGTCTTGAGAGGTGGTCTGTTTCCAGAAATGTATCCATTTCCTCTGGATTTTCTAGTTTGTATGCACAGAGGTGTTCATAAGTCTCTGTTAATTTTTTGTATTTCTGTAGGATCGATTGTAATGTCTTTTTTGTTGTTTCTATTCTAGCTAGTGGTCTATACTGTTTATCCTTTCAAATAACCAACTTTTTGTTTCATTGATTCTTTATAGATTTTTGTGTCTCAATTTAATTCAGATCTTCTCTGATTTCGTTATTTATTTTCTTCTGCCAACTTTGGGGTTTGTTCTTGTTTTTTTTTAATACCCCTAGGTGTGATGTTAGATTGTTTATTTGAGATCTTTCTAACCTTTTGAGATAGGCATTTAGTGCTATAAACTTCCCTCTTACCACTGCTTTTGCTGCATGCCAGAGATTTCATTATGTTTTGTCTCTGTTTTCATTTATTTCAAAGAATTTTTTGATTTCTGCCTTAATTTCACTGTTTACCCAAAAGTCATTTAGGAGCAAGTTGTTTAATTTCCATGTAACTATGTAGTTTTGAGAGACCTCAGAATTGATTTCTGTTTTTATTCCACTATGGTCCAAGATTATGGTTGCTGTGATTTCAATTTTTTTAAATGTTTTGAAACTTGCTTTATAGCCTAGCATGCAATCAATCTTAGAGTATATCTCATGTGCAGTTGAGAAGAATGTATATTCTGTGGTTGTTGGATGAAATAGCCTGTAGATGTTTATTAAATCCAATTGGTCAAGTGTCAATTTTAAGTCCAGAATTTCTTTGTCAGTTTCTGCCTTGATGATCTGTCTTACATAGTCAGTGGGTGTTGAAGTTCCTCACTGTTATTGTGTGGCTGTCTGAGTCCTTTCGTAGGTCTAGAAGTACTTGTTTCATGAATCTGGGTGCTCCAATATTAGGTGTATATATATTTAAGATAGTTAAGTCTCCTTGTGAATTGAACCCCTTATCATTATATAATGCCTGTCTTTGTTCCTTTGTACTTTTGTTGGTTTAAAGTCTGTTTTATCTGCTGTAAGAATAGTGACCGCTGCTCTTTTTTAATTTCTTGTTTGTGTGATTTTTCTCCTACCCTTTACTTAGAGCTTATGTATATCATTACATGTGAAATCAGACTCTTGAAGATAGCAGATGGATGGGTCTTATTTTTTTATCCAATTGGCAACTCCGTGCCTTTTAGGTGAGACATTTACATTCAAGGTCAATATTGATATATGAGGTTTAGATGCTATTGTGAAGTTCTTAGCTGGTTGCTTTGTAGTTTCCATTGTGTGCTTGCTTTATAGGGTCTATGGTCTGTGTAATATTCCATGGTGTATTTGTACCACATTTTCTTTATCCAATCCACAACTCATAGGCACCTAGGTTGATTCAACGTCTGCTATTGTAAATAGAACAGTGACAAACATATGACTGCATGTGTCTTTTTGGTATAATGATCTATTTTACTTTGGATATATACCCAGTAATAGGTTTTCTGAGTTGAATGATAGTTCTGTTTTAAATTCCTTGAGAAATCTCCATAGTGGTTTCCACAGGGAACTGCTTTTCTACACTGTACTTAAATGTATTTCTGTGGTAGCAGGTATTGTTCTTTCTTTTCCACATTTTGAACTCCCTTGAGGATCTATTTTAAGGCTAGCCTAGTGGTAAAAAAATTCCCTTAGGACTTGCTTGTCTGGAAAATATTTTATTTCTCTTTTAATAAGCTTAGTTTGGTGGGATATGAAATTCTTGGCTGGAATTTTTCTTTAAGAATGCTAAGAATAGGCCCTCAATCTTTCCTGGCTTGTAAGGTTTCTGCTAAGAAGTCCACTGTTAGCTTGATGGGATTCCCTTTGTACATGATCTGACCTTTTTCTGTAGATGCCACTACGATTATTTCTTTAGCACTGACCTTGGACAATCTGGTAACAATATGCCTTGGTGATGTCAGTTTTGTATAGTATCTCACAGGCATTCTCTGGATTTCTTGTATCTGGATGTATACCTGTCTAGCAAGATTTGAAAAATTTTCTTAAATTATTCCCTCAAATGTGTTTTTCAGGTTGTTTACTTTTTCTCCCTCTCTCTCAGGAATGCCAATAATTCACAGGCTTGGTTGCTTGACGTAATCCTACATTTCTCAAAGACTTTGTTCATCTTTAAAAAGTTTTTCTCTATTTTTGTCTGACTGGGTTTGTTGAAAAGATTGGTCTTCAAGCTCTGAAATTCTTCCTTCTGCTTGGTCTAGTCTATTGATAAAGCTTTCCATTGCATTTTGAAGTTCCTTAAGTGAGTTTTTCAATTCCAGAAAATTTGACAGATTTCTTTTTAAGATGTTCATCTCTTCCTACATTTCTTGGATTGCTTTAGAAGTTTCTTTGTGTTAATTTTCAACCATATCTTGGATATTGTTAAGCTTTCTTGCAAGCCATGCTTTGAATTCTTTGTTTGTCATTTCTGAGTTTCCATTTTGGTTAGCAACCATTGCTGGAGAGCTAGTTAATCCTTTGGTGGTGTCACTACATTCAAATTTCTCATGGTGCCATAATTCTTATGCTGGTTCCTTTTAATCTGAAATTTCTGGCACTTCTGATTTGTGTAATTATCTTGTGGGTAGGATTACTTTTTCTTTCTTTCTCTATAATATTATTGGATTTTTGTTTTCCCTATCCTCCACCCACCAAGGGAGTGTGACTGTAGAGAATGTTGGGTAGGGTCTTTTGGCATTGCTTTTATAGCCCTACGCACTTCTGTTGGAAGATTGTATTCTGTTGGGCTGTGCAGTTTGACCTGTAAGCTAGTAGAAAGTAGAATGCAGTTATGGGTATATACTTATGTATATATTTAGTCCTTACGTACTGGGCGAAGTTCTCCATTGCCTCAGGCAATGGGCTGATCTATGGAGTGCACAGTGGTCTGAGCTCCCTGTTCAGGGGAGTGGGAGGAAAGATGGGCAGGGCCAGAACAGGTAGGCCCACCTACAGGTACCCCAATGACAGGCACAGGCACCAGCACAAAAGGAGAATTCAGTGAGCAGCCACCAAGCACCTAGAGTTGTGCCTATGTGTAGAACTGGGAAACTTTCTTGGCCCCAAGTTCTCTTGGCCCCAAGTTCTGTACAGGGAGGAGAAGTGGTCTAAACTCCTAATGCAGGAGAATGGGTGTTCCAGATGCTTGGTGATCTGCCTGGGCATAGAGTGGACAGAGTCCTCCCTGCTTCACTGTGGCCTCTGCACAGAAAGGGTGGGCCAGCTCAGGCTGCTGATTCAGGCCAGCAGGTGCTCTGTCTGGAGATCTGCCTGGGTGTAAAACAGAGATGGCCCTCTGCACAGGAGGCATGGGCAATTTAGGCTGCTGATTCAGATAAGTGTATGCTCCAAATGCCTGGAGATTGGCCTGGGAATGGAGTGTAGAGGGCCCTGCTTCCCCATGATCTCTGCACAGGAAGGGTGGGACAGCTCAGGCTACCAATCTGGGCAAGCAGTTGCTTTGAATGCCTGGAGATCTAGCTGCACATAGAGTGGAGAGGGCCTGCTATATCTCAATCTATGCCCAGGAAGGGTGGGGCAGCTCAGGATGCTGGCTTAGGCAAGCAGGTGCTCCAAATGCCTGGAGTTCTGCCTGGGGGTAGAGTGAAGGGGGACTCACTGCACCACAATCTATGTCCAAGAAGAGGGGGGAGGCTCAGGCTGCTGAACCAGGCAAGCAGGGGTTCTGAATGCCTAGAGATCTGCCTGGGTGTGGAGCAGACAGGGCCCCACTGCACCACAATCTCAGAGGAGCAGGCCGGGGCAGCCAGCAATGACACACACAGATCAGTTCCAGGTCTCCAAGCTGGCCCCAGTTGCAAGTCTCATTGCCCAGGAGAAACCACAACTGTAGCAGCTCTCCTACCACCCAAGGCCTGCAACAGGGAGAGCACAATTCCAGCACCTACTGCTGAGGTGTTTTCCACAATTCTGGCTGTGGAGGTCCCACTCCAGGGGGGTTGCTCCAATCTCTGGCCCGAGAAAAATGCCTGCATGGCCACATTGCCAGGTCACCAAAGAATGACTGACTTTGTATGCATCTGGTTTAAAAATTGAATCCTGCTCTCCCTCCTAGGTCTGGGAAAATGCCTGCAACGTTTCCAGTGTCCTTCCCTCTCAGCATCTCCAAGCCTCTCCCCAAGTTAGCTCCAGGGCTTGGGAGGAACAAAATGCTCTCCTGCAGCCTGGGATGCTCACATCCCCAGTGGAAACGTAAGTCACAGAGGGAGGCTTTCTGCCTCTCTCATGTACTGAGGCTTCACGCACTTCTATCAGTGTGTTTGAGAGAATGCTGTTTGCCTGCATTCTCCTCCCCAGGGTCTAAGACCTCCAACTCTTTTTGTTTTCCAAGATGGTAGATGACAGGCTTTTAGTGTGCCCCAGCCACTCAGAAATTTCTTAAAAGTTGGAGGTCTTAATTACCTAAATAACTCCCTCAATTCTTTATGTTCTAATAAAAGCCCATGTAAGTGTTTCTGCTTGGGGAAAATGCTTGCTGTTTTTAAAATCCCTCATTCTAAATCTATTAGTTTATTTTCTGTATAGGAGGCAAGAAGAATTTCTGTGCTCAAAGTACTTAATATTGAATAATCTTTTTTGGTCCTTTCTTTACTTCACCCCAGATGATGGTGAAGAAAAAATCACTCTGACAAAATTTTTGCCAAGTTTCTATTATTTATTAAGGTATTTGTGGTCCCTGCTGACATAGAGAATAGACCTTTCACACGTCAACAGTTTTGGAGGTACAGTACCCACCTCAACATACAGGTATTTGTGGAATAATCCCGGTTCACTGCTCTAAAAGGACTTCCCTTCAGCCACTAATCCATTTAGCATATAATTAAAGAGCTTTAAAAATCATCAGTCATCTTGCTTAGGGTAAGTAATAATTTATGCCAAGGGAGTTGGAAGAAATGCTGATTTCATTTATTTTATCTCCTTGGAGGGAAGGTGGACTGATAAAACCCTGTGCAAGATGGTAAATTTTTAAACTTATTCGTAAGGCTAAATTAAAACAGCAGACACACTGATGATTTGTGAATATTCTTTAATCTCTCTATGTCCTCCTTTTTGGGGGGAAAAAGTTTTACATACATGTAACACCACCTCCCAATTTTCCCTCATTTGTAATGGTTGAGTTTTTTTTAATGTTTTTTGAAGCCAGCATCTTCTCTATTTTTTTCATTAATGAATAAATAATATATGTATAGCAGATATTTGAAATTTAGATATAGTTAGGTTGAGTAAGTGCTGGTTCACCCACATATTTTCCTTCTAAAAAATAATACTGCAGCTCCACTTAGGAGAAATGAGCCCTCTCTATGTAGTTAATCATTTGTGTAAGTGCAAGGTGGGCTGGGAGATAGGATACACATGCTTCAGGAGTCTGGAAATACTAAAAGAAAGTGCAGGCTGAGCATCATTAATTTGCATTGAGGACACAGGGTAAGCAGGATGGGCCTACCTGAAGGCTTTAAAATTAACTTAGCCTTACCTTTAGAAGAGGTATGTTGAGATCATTTTTGCAATGTTAGAAATACAGTCAGTCCTCACTTAACATCATCAATAGATTATTGGAAACTGCAACTTTCAGCAAGATGGTATAATAAAACAAATTTTACACTAGGTTAATTGAAATAAACAAAAATTAAGCTTCTATAACATATTTCTGGTCAAAAAACATCACCAAACTTTTAAGTAAAGACCAAAACACTTGTAATATTAAGCATTGAAGTAAATGTGAGCTATACATACATTTAAGAAAGAAAAATAAAAACAATTAAGATCATTATTTACCCAATTATTCCAGTTCATGGCCAAGGGTAGCAGACAGGGCCCAAGGCAGGAACCATCCCTGGACAGGAAACCATTCCAGTGCAGTGTACACATACATACAAACACACACACACACACACACACACACTCAGGTTGAGACAATGTAGTCACACCAGTGAACCTAATGTGCACAGCTTTGGGTTGTGGGAGCAAACTGGAGTAGTCAGAAAAAACCCACATGGATTTCGGAGGGTGTGTAGACTCAACATAGACAGTGGCCCCTGCCAAGAATCAATTTTGTTTTCTCATTTATGTTATAACAAAGCAACATTGAATGAAATTATGTTATTTGATGACCTGCTGTATAAAAATATCAATTGTGCAACAGTATCTTCTTTTTTTAAAAAAAAAAAGAGCTAAAATAAAATATTTAAATTAAGATTCAAATACATTCTTTTATTCATTGAACAAATGTCAATCGAGTATTAACGAGCAAGAAACTGTGCTATGGGGTATTCAAAGATGTGGAATGAGCAAATGATTTCAAGTCTATATTTCTCCACTGTGAGTCCTTAGATACTCAAATCTCTTCACAGTTCTCTTTATTCTTCTCTAAAAAATGGAAGTGTTTGTATATTAATAGGATGCACATGCTTTAGAAGTCTTGCATATAAAAAAACTAATTTAAACAGACTAAGACAGGAAAGGAGGCTCATTAAGAAGCCAAGGCATCATTCTGACATTGAGTTCAGTTTTATCCAAGAACTTGAACCATGACACCAAGATTCTCCACTTCTTGGCTTTGCCTTGTGCTGTTAGCTCCATTCTCATGCACTCCACAGTTATCCTTGGTCTGGCTCACACAGTCCCCACCACTTGCCAACCCAGTAGAAAGAGCACCCGCCTTTTTCCTAATATCCAAATATGTCTTTGCATCTCATTGCTTTGACTGCATGGTGTGCTACTCGCTGCCTATAGCTGGGAAAATGTGATGCACACGTGTAAAGTCCAGGGGGACAACAACTACCCTGAAGAGGTTGGAGCACAGTTAGTTATGCAGAGAAACCAGGCCGCTGTTGTAGAAAGAAGAACGAAGAAATGCTGGTTTGCCAAAATGAAACTTTCAGGCAAGATCATCTCAATGATTCCTTCTGGTGCTGCTCTTCTGTGATGGGCTGAATTATGTCTCCCCAAAATTCATATATTGAAGCCCTAATCCCCAGTATTTCAGAATGTGACCATATTGGGAGATAGGGCCTTTAAAAGAGGTGATTGACATTGATTGAGGTCATATGGGTACGCTTTAATCCAATCTGACTGGCATCCTTATAAGCAAAGGATATTAGGACACATTGAGAGACACCAGGGATGTGTGTGCACAGAGAAAAGACTGCATAAGAACACAGTGAGAAGGCAGCTGATATGTTTTGGATCTGCGTCCCTGCTGAAATCTCATGTTGAATTGTAATCCCCAGTGTTGGAGGTGAGGCCTAGTGGGAGGTGACGCCTGGTCAGGGGTGGCTGGATCATGGGGCGGATTTCCCCTTTGTGCTGCTTTCATGATAGTGAGTTCTCAAGAGATCTGGTCATTTAAAAGTGTGTAGCACTTACCCTGCCCCCTTGCTCCTGCTCCTGCCCTGGAAGGTAAGCCTGCTCCCGCTTCACCTTCCACCATGATTGGAAATTTCCTGAGGCCTCCCCAGAAGCAGAAGCTGCTATGCTTCCTGTACAGCCTGCATAACTGTGAGCCAATGAAACCTCTTTTCTTTATAAGTTACCCAGTCTCCAGCATTTTTCTATAGCAATTTGAGAATGGACTAAGACCATAGCCACCCTCAAGCCAAAATCTGCCAATACCATAGTGTTGGACCTCTGCCCTCTGGAACTGTAAGAAAATAAATTTCTGTTGTTTAAGCCACCCAGTCTATGGTCATTGTGCTATGGGAGGCCCAGCAGACTAATACATCTTCTGAATAAGACATGAACTTTTCCTACCAGATCTTCACTCTATTTTTAGAGAAAATACATGTGCAGCCCTAACCTTTCTTCATCTCCACCACATACACACACAACACACGTACACGCATTCTAAATACCCAGCTACAAGGTACTTATCTTGACAAATGCCATGTGAATGACGCAGCCGGCCAAGAAAGAGAAGGCACTGTCCCTATTTTCAGGTGCTTCTAGTTAAATCCTGAAATTAAGGAGAAGATGAGACTACATACACAGGCTAAAGGAGTGGTTCTCAACTGGGTCACTGGGTTCAAGGCATGCTGGGTATGTTTCTCAAAATGTTTATCGTAGTAAACATTTGACCACCCTGCATTCGAAACTTCTTATTCGTGAAGAATTGTCCACCTTATAGATACCGTTAGAGAAGCTGATAGTGACAGCTTCCTGCCTTCCCTGCCTTCCTTGCAGCTAGGAACAGGAAGAAACCTAAGTTCTGCTAACTACACACACCTGCCTGGACTAAATCTATAGTTAGAGACAAAGAAGACAGAACTGGAGGGACTCTCTGGAAGTAGCAATATTGCCAGCAGTAAGAGAGGGTTTCTGGAGTAGAAAATGGCAGCACTGGAAAGTGCTAGGTGTCGGCTGGGTCCACAGTACAAGCTGCAATAATATCTGGGCTCTGTCCTGACAGGGCCTGTCTGCTGCATGATTCCAGACAACATTACTGATCCCTGTCCAGCCTCGGACCTCATTGTCCAGCCTTCCAGTGATTAGACAAGCTACCCCACATCTATCTAACAAATTTGTTTTCTGCTCACAATTAGCCCTTCTGCGCGTGAACAAAAAACCCTGACATTCCTCCTTAAATGAGCTCTTTACTGCCCCAACTATCCAAAATATCGTTTTATGTATTTTCGTTGCTACAAAAGGTGTTGCATGGCTCTGAGTTGCTCTACCATGACAGTATATATCTTCATTTAAAGCAAAAATATATTTTAAATATTGATGTCAGTTGCATATCTATGAACTGTGTGATGTGCAGAAATCTGAAGAAACAGTGTGTTAGAGCATGGATGGATCACTCAGTTTCTGGAGGAAGAGTAGATATAGACTAGGGCAATGGCAACCCATCAGGTGATCACTAGAATCTTCTGAAAGCTTTTGTTTTCAAATAAAGATGCCAAGTTCTGCCCCCAGAGAAGCTTGTACATCTAGAGTATAGTTCAGGAATATGAGTTTACATAATTCTCCCTAGAGTCAGATGATACTGTCCAAATTGACCAAATAGGAATAAAGATTCTAGTTGTGAAGGTAAACAATTAGAGGACTAACATATAAATAACAAAATTGAGGAAAGGTGGGATAGAGGAGGAACAATTATATGAAAGCTAAATACCTTAATTTTCATGATGAGGAGTCAATAGTGACTAAAGCTGATAAATTAAGAAATAGACTTACAGGTATATTACTCAGAATTATAGCAGCAACCATTAGGAAAAACTACAACTGAAACTTTTTTAGTTTCTGGCTTATCTCACTCCGTCCCACAGTCGCTTCCTGTCCATTATGCTCTTTTTATCCCATACCTCTTCATACTTTCCATCTATTATCCTTTTATTTGTTTATTTCAAAAGTTATAGTAAGCCCCGCTAGACAAGAATTTCATCTGTCCTGTTCACTGTGTCCCCCCCAGTTTGAACAGTGCCTGATATATAGCACATGCTTAATAAATCTTTGATGAAGGAAGAAGGAAGGAAGGAAGGAAGGAAGGAAGGAGGGAAGGAAGGAAGGAAGGAGGGAGGGAGGGAGGGAGGGGAAAAGACAGGCATAAGGTACAAAGCTCTGAGGAATATAAAAAGGATGGCAGAATTTTACATTTTATGTAATGCTATTTGAACCATTTGAACATTTTTTACCATAAAAATATATTATTTTCTAATAAAAATTTAAATTCTCCCCTAGTAGTTCTGATGAATAGCCAGAATTGAGCACTGGACTAGGGCATCAATGAAAATACTTAGAAAGTCAGAGGAAAGTTTGGAATTAGCTATGGGGGAAAGCTGCTGATTTTATTGGCAGGTTTTTTTAGTATTCCATTTTTTATTTTATTAGTATTTGATTACTAGGCTTTCCCCTATGTCATGTGATGTGAGTAGCCCCGGAAAGAGAGTACCCAATCTTTGCCTAGATAACTTCACAATTATCCATTCTTTTATTCAAAATTCTTCTCCAGATTGATTATTCTGGTAAAAATGTAAACACTCCATAGGGGGTTAATACATATTATGTAATTAATATCCTAGTATAAACTTCTATCATTGTTTAATCACCTTCTCACCCTGTATAAATGCCAAAGCACAGAATAAGAACGGGATATACCTCTCTACAGGATCCCCATTACAGATGTTTTGTGCGATGCAGGACATGAGTTTGACCTCTTTAATCACTTGCCATTACACGCAGTTGAAAGCAAATATGGAACATACAGCTCCATCCTTTCTTCTCTTTTCAGAAGCTGACTTTAATACCAAAGTAGTAAGGCTCTTTGCAGAGCTTGCTGCATATGTACAAGAACTCAATTTGGAGCAGTCTCAGATATTCAAGTTTACTGATAATTCAGCATGTTAAAGGGAAGAGGAAATAAGTGAGTGCCAATGGCTTGTCCCTGCTCATGTCCTCTTGTATCTGCTCTGCCCTGAAAGAGAAGAAGGCTCAAATATACTGAAAAGGCTGCCATGGGCATATATGGAGACTGCCATGGACATTTTCAAAATCACTTCCCCTAAGTGGGGAATCTCTTCAACCCCAAACAATACAGATCCAGAGCTAAGGACTCAGAGGGACCCAAGGCTCTGGAAGCACAGGGTCAGGTCTCAGGACTTATCATGCAGGCTTCTGAAAGTAACAAGGTCACATCACATTAATTAGCTGTTTCATTCATTTTCAGGTAAGACAGTTGCTTTTCTTCTACATACTCTCCAATACATACAAGATGTGAATCTAAACACTACAACGCTATTTTTAAAAAAATTAAACCTATCAGAATTCTACATCCAAATAAGGTTGACCCATGTAAATACTTACCTTGGGAAACAAAGCATTCATTTCAATGATGTGTCATATCTCAGAACATTGTCAGAAGTCGCCCTTGGAAATTGCCTTCAGAAACTATAGTACATTTTTTTAGAGTTCACAATAATAGAAAGTAGTTCTTCAGAAATATAATCGACTTAGAACAGCTATTCTCAAAATTTGGGGTCCCATGGTCATTTTACACAGGTAAAAATTATGGAGTATCCCAAAGAGTTTTTGTTCATGTGAATTATATTATCAATATTTGCCATATTAAAAATTAAAGTAGAAATTTTTTAAATATTTATTGATTAATCCATTTTTAAATAGCAATGTAAATCGATTATATGTTAACAGAAAAACATTTTTATTTTAAAAAATCTCTGTTTTCATATCAACCCACTTTTTGATGGGGTTGTTTGTTTTTTTCTTGTAAATTTGTTTGAGTTCATTGTAGATTCTGGATATTAGCCCTTTGTCAGATAAGTAGGTTGCAAAAATTTTCTCCCATTCTGTAGGTTGCCTGTTCACTCTGATGGTGGTTTCTTTTGCTGTGCAGAAGCTCTTTAGTTTAATTAGATCCCATTTGTCAATTTTGACTTTTGTTGCCATTGCTTTTGGTGATTTAGACATGAAGTCCTTGCCCATGCCTATGTCCTGAATGGTATTGCCTAGGTTTTCCTCTAGGGTTTTTATGGGTTTAGGTCTAACATTCAAGTCTTTAATCCATCTTGAATTAATTTTTGTATAAGGTGTAAGGAAGGGATCCAGTTTCAGCTTTCTACATATGGCTAGCCAGTTTTCCCAGCACCATTTATTAAATAGGGAATCCTTTCCCCATTGCTTGTTTTTCTCAGGTTTGTCAAAGATCAGATAGTTGTAGATATGCGGCGTTATTTCTGAGGGCTCTGTTCTGTTCCATTGGTCTATATCTCTGTTTTGGTACCAGTACCATGCTGTTTTGGTTACTGTAGCCTTGTAGTATAGTTTGAAGTCAGGTAGCATGATGCCTCCAGCTTTGTTCTTTTGGCTTAGGATTGACTTGGTGATGCGGGCTCTTTTTTGGTTCCATATGAACTTTAAAGTAGTTTTTTCCAATTCTGTGAAGAAAGTCATTGGTAGCTTGATGGGGATGGCATTGAATCTATAAATTACCTTGGGCAGTATGGCCATTTTCACGATATTGATTCTTCCTACCCACGAGCATGGAATGTTCTCCATTTGTTTGTATCCTCTTTTATTTCATTGAGCAGTGGTTTGTAGTTCTCCTGGAAGTGGTCCTTCACATCCCTTGTAAGTTGGATTCCTAGGTATTTTATTCTCTTTGAAGCAATTGTGAATGGGAGTTCACTCATGATTTGGCTCTCTGTTTGTCTGTTATTGGTGTATAAGAATGCTTGTGATTTTTGCACATTGATTTTGTATCCTGAGACTTTGCTGAAGTTGCTTATCAGCTTAAGGAGATTTTGGGCTGAGACAATGGGGTTTTCTAGATATACAATCATGTCATCTGCAAGCAGGGACAATTTGACTTCCTCTTTTCCTAATTGAATGCCCTTTATTTCCTTCTCCTGCCTGATTGCCCTGGCCAGAACTTCCAACACTATGTTGAATAGGAGTGGTGAGAGAGGGCATCCCTGTCTTGTGCCAGTTTTCAAAGGGAATGCTTCCAGTTTTTATCCATTCAGTATGATATTGTCTGTGGGTTTGTCAGAGACAGCTCTTATTATTTTGAGATACAGCCCATCAATACCTAATTTATTGAGAGTTTTTAGCATGAAGGGTTGCTGAATTTTGTCAAAGGCCTTTTCTGCATCTATTGAGATAATCATGTGGTTTTTGTCTTTGGTTCTGTTTATATGCTGGATTACATTTATTGATTTTCGTATGTTGAACCAGCCTTGCATCCCAGGGATGAAGCCCACTTGATCATGGTGGATAAGCTTTTTGATGTTTTGCTGGATTTGGTTTGCCAGTATTTTATTGAGGATTTTTGCGTCAATGTTCATGAAGGATATTGGTCTAAAATTCTCTTTTTTGTTGTGTCTCTGCCAGGCTTTGATATCAGAATGATGCTGGTGCAGCCAAAAAACACATGAAAAAATGCTCATCATCACTGGCCATCAGAGAAATGCAAATCAAAACCACAATGGGATACCATCTCATACCAGTTAGAATGGCGATCATTAAAAAGTCAGGAAACAACAGGTGCTGGAAAGGATGTGGAAAAATAGGAACACTTTTACACTGTTGGTGGGACTGTAAACTAGTTCAACCATTGTGGAAGTCAGTGTGGCGATTCCTCAGGGATCTAGAACTAGAAATACCATTTGACCCAGCCATCCCATTACTGGGTATATACCCAAAGGATTATAAATCATGCTGCTATAAAGACACATGCACACGTATGTTTATTGTGGCACTATTCACAATAGCAAAGACTTGGAACCAACCCAAATGTCCAACAATGATAGACTGGATTAAGAAAATGTGGCACATATACACCATGGAATACTATGCAGCCATAAAAAATGATGAGTTCATGTCCTTTGTAGGGACATGGATGAAGCTGGAAACCATCATTCTCAGCAAACTGTCGCAAGAACAAAAAACCAAACACCGCATGTTCTCACTCATATGTGGGAATTGAACAATGAGAACACATGGACACAGGAAGGGGAACACCACACTCTGGGGACTGTTGTGGGGTGGGGGGAGGGGGGAGGGATAGCATTAGGAGATATACCTAATGCTAAATGACGAGTTAATGGGTGCAGCACACCAACATGGCACATGTATACAAATGTAACAAACCTGCACATTGTGCACATGTACCCTAAAACTTAAAGTATAATAATAATAACAATAATAATAATAATAAATCACTGTTTTCCCAAACAAAAAAAATTTGAGACAAGTAGCATTATTTTATATTTTTTATGTAAATATTATATTAATATCTTGCTCAGTAGAACACAGATTTTTATATGTGCTTCTGCCTTCAATCTGTTATAATATTATTTTAATTAAAGTATATAAAGAAAATCCAGATTCTCACACATATGTAGTTGAAGAGTGGATTGTTTCAATAGTCTTTTCAGGTAATTATGATAACCTTCTTTGATATTATGCCAAAACTCAACAAGTGGTACTTCCTTAATGGTTAGGTGCAAAGTGAAATCTGAAACTACATCAATAAACTTTTCATACTCTGTTACATTAAAATCCACTAGTTTATCTTGCACTTTGAAAGAATCATTTATCCATGCATAATTTTATAACGTCATACATTGATTATTTGGAAAATATTGGTTTGCCGAGTTGTGCAGATCTTTCAAATATTGACACATTTCATTACACAGTATTATCATGTGCCATGAAACCTTTGGAAAACTCTACTCTACTCTCATGACAGAGTGTGGATGAAAAACACAAATAACTTCTTTGTATTATTATAATAAAGAAGTTTGGCTTCATGAACCTCCTGAAAGAACCCAGGATACTCAGAGCACACCTTAAGAACCATTGACTTAGAAGATGAGTTAAAAATCTTTCAGAGTCCAGTCTTATAAGGCATGTTTCCAAATTAAGCAAAATAAGACATATAGTTTAGAACTTAATAATTTCAGAAACTGAAACCAGTTTGTGGGAATATGAATTTCAATGACTTTTTACTGTTGTTGTCAGGTATTTTTATTAATGTCAAGTTCCATCTCGTTATGTGATATAAGATAGTTCATGAAGTTGGCCCACCTTTGGTGTCGGGTTTGCCCCAAATCACTCACCAGTTAGAAACTGAGCTGTGTCAAAGTCCGCAAAACTTAATATTGTCACAACAAAAATATTTTTATTTTTCAAACTCTAGATAGTGGCCCATTTACTTCAAACAATACTCAAACGGTTCATGTTTAGTATAAGAAATAATTTGGTTATTCTATAACGTTTATTGAAAAAGAATTTTCTGTAGCTCTAATGCAAATGTATCTTCCTGTTCGCCCTTTTTAAACTGTAATTTATGATTGTAGAATTTAATAGCTATGAAGAACTAAGATGCGATCTAGTCCAACAGCCTCATTTTACAAGTGGTAAAAGTAAAATTCAGAAAAGCAAACTGAATAACCACTCTGAAACTGAGCTGAAACCAAAATCCAGCTCACATGGCATGCTGTTTAGCATTCTCTGCATATACTATTTCCAAAAGAAAATACCTCATCTTATTTGTATTTCCCATTTATGACCCAATCCAAATGGGATATGTGCAAATTTTTTTCCATTGATTCAACAATAATTCAATTGTTAAGTCATATTTTTTGTAACCCACCCGTAAGTCACAAGTGACATCTTATTAATAAGGGACAAAGAAATATTGAAATAATTTAGTGAAATGCCCACACATTGCAAAGCTAACCACAGTCAAAAGATTATTATCTATTTTATCTGCCTTGGTGCCATTCTTTTAAATGTAATAAACTAAGCTTCAGGGTCTTGAAATAGGCAGTAAAAATGATACTTACCAAAATGACTAAAGATAGGTGCAGTACCATTAAGTAAGCAATAATCCCTTTGAAATCAGTCATTACCAGCAGTTTTTTGCTATGGGCCATTAACACTTTAACTAGCACGTCATTAATACTGGTAATAACCAATTCTGAGGGGATTATTCCTCGAATAAACTATATATTATAATTTTTAAGCTTTGTAAAAATTTTCACACTTTTATGTTAACCTTTGAATAATAAGTAAGTGTGGACAGAATTAGCCAAGATTACTACTGGCTCATTTTTTAAAACATAAATATTTATCTCTCTCCTTCTGTCTATTCCTATACATTTGCCTATAATGTCTTTAACATTTGAAGACAGTGCTTCTGGTACCACCAAAATGTAGAGAGTTTTGCTATTCTCTTTTTATGCAATATCCCTTAAGACAGTGTAGTGGTTTGCAAATGCCTTCTGTCATTTAGAGCCAAGCATTACCATTCATTTCATCTTTTAAAGTCCAAGCCCACCTGAAGTCATTTTTTGTCCAATGTCATCTCGGTCAATTTGCTAATTTTTTTTTTTTTTTTTTTTTGCACGCCAGAAATACTGAGTGACTTCAGTAATGTAGTGATTTGTTGAACCTCTGCAGCTTCCTCTAGGTGCAAAAGACCACACCCAACATGGAAAGATCCCAGTTTAGGAGAGGGGGCCAGAAGAAAAGGTTACTTAATATTTAATCCACAGTGGTAGCCCTGAGGTGAACACCTTGGCCCCAGCTCCCTCTCGTTGCCCCAGGACACAGAAGCTCCAGCATGGCTTTTCCTGGTACCTTTTAACATTCCGGTTATAATAACTTATTCTTATTTTTACTTCACTCTGGATCTATAGGGAAGTTGTGGAGGGACTTCTCTGAGATATTTGGTTAACATCACAGCTTGATATTTAGATAAATTTACAAATTATAAAGCAATATTGGGTAAACATAGGTCCCCTCTAAAAGGATGAGCTAAATGAAGAAAGTCATGGGATATGTGAAAAGATCTTGGGAAGGAAGAAAAAACGTGAGTTGTGGAGAGAAACACCAATCTTCAAAAGAATCACAAACTCTTCTTTGCTCAGAAATAGTTTACAGGTATAAGAATATTTTATTAAATATATGATTAATGTTGTCTACAATAGTCAAGAAGATGCTGCCTCTGTGAAATTTGTAAAATAGAAGACAGCAATCCAAGATAAAGACTACCAATTTAAAGCCACAATATAACAAAAGTGAAAAGTACATTCAACACCAGAGAAAATGGACAAATGAATTAGTAGATACATTTGAAAAGTTTCTTAGGTAAAAGAATAAAAATAAGACTGCATGAAAACAGGAAACTTTTATATATAACCAAATTTCACAAGTGGAATTGTTTAAAAACAGGAAAAATATTCACCAAAAAAATTCACAAAAGGCTAATAGCCTTAATTTTTAGGAACCCACAGAAAACAGTTAAAAATACTGACTCCTTTAGGTAAGTGAAAAACAAACAATTCAGTAAACAACAGACATGTGCAGCAATATTTACCCTATTTAGTAAGCAAAGACATAAATTAAAACATATTATTTTCACTATCAAATTATAAAAATATAAAAGCCTATAATATCTGGAGTGAGGAACTGTTGTGCCCTGCTGGAGGCCATGAAAGAAACCATCCCACTTCACCTTTGCTCTAAAAGCAAGTTGGCAATTTGGGAAAATATCAATACATTTTGAGATCTGAGAATCTAAAATCTCCCCATAGGTAATACTGTGCAACTGGCCCTGTTTCCTGTGAGAGCTGGAGTCTATGTTCCCTCCTCTGGAATCTAGGTAGGAGCTTGAGACTACTCTGACCAAGAAAGTATGGAAGATGCATGCAATGTGCCTTCCAAAGTTAAATCACAGGAAGAATACAACTTCCACCTGGTGCTGTCACCTCGTGCGATGCTGCCCCTGGGAACCCAGCCACCACGATGTGAGGAAGCAAGCAGCCACATGAAAAAGCCATGTTCCACTACAGCCTCAGCTGTTCTAGTCTCCCTAGTCAACTACCAGCATCAACTGCCAGACATCTGTTGATTCCAAGTGAGAGGAGGTGAGCTTTCTCCACCGAGGCCTCCCCAGATTGGAGATTCATCAGCAAAATGTGTTTATTCCCATCCCCACAACTTTAAACAGTGTGGGTTTAGAAGTCTTCATCCTGGCAAAAGGAATGCTTCCAGTAAGGAATACAACAATGGTCCTGTAGAACTGGGAGTTAACATTACCACTGAGCCATTCTGGCTTCTCCATACCAATGAACCAACAGGCAAAATGTGTTATTGTACTGGCCGAGGTCATTAATCTTGATGAACAAAGGGAAACTGGTTGCTGCTTAGGATAGACTATGTCTAGACTAGAACTTGAGACTCTTTGGGGGCAACTCTTAGTACTTTCTGAGTAACATTTAGAACTGTGGTTACTGGTAGTAAATATCAGAGGTTTATAAACTTTCCAAAGAAACTTATCAAATGTTTTGATTCAAGGCAAAGACTAAAGGGACATTCTCAGTCACCAACTTTACACGGACAGTCAGGAACACAAAGAGCTTGTCCGCAAAAAGGAAAAGCCAGACCACCTAGGTCCTGGAAGACTGAGCCCCTTAAGCTCAGTAGAAATTCCCTCTCTGAAGCATCAAGTTCCAGGAAGTCTAGATGGCCAGATTGGATGGAAAGAGAAAGAGGGACAAAATTGCTTGTCACTTGCCACTGTACACTTCCACATTTCATCAGTTCTAATTCCAATAGTGAAGAAGTTTCTATCCTCTCAAATTATAGCAGCCTAATATGATTTACACAAACATCTTATGTACCATTAGGCTTACACAAAAAATTAGAACACATTTTCCTTTTCTTTATGAAGATGTTCAAATATTCAGAATCTGGTTTCTAAACAGGATTTCATTACTAAAGAAAAGAAACTCTTTTATGTTTCTTGCAAGTTTTAAGGAAAGAAACTGAATAGATCTTTAAATTAAAAATTTTTCCCCATTTGAATTCAGCAATAAAAATAATTTTATTACCTGAATACCTGAGTATATTATCTTTAAAAATCAATTGTAGCATTACCATCTATTAAAAAGCAAGAATAATGAAACCTTGTTTCCTGAGCTACACAAATTTTGAAAAGTCAATCAAAGCCATAGTTCAATACAAGATCACTTAGAAGTTAAGACATTATCATATTAAAAATCAAAGCTTTCAGACATTTAGCTTTACTTAAAAGTCACCCGATATTAAATTGGAATGTTTCACTTACTTAAATTCCCTTTAATGAAGATCTTTGTGCATCTTCTCATCTATATTAGTCCCTGATGATTATACCCCAAGGATATTAAAATCTCAGTCTGTCAGAATCACCAGAAAATATCTTCAAATGTACACTTAGCAATCTTTGCAATCTGAGTTGGTAGTTCAAAGTATTTATTATCTGTAGCTAGGATGCTGCATTTGTCACTTTGCAAATGAGTTTTAAAGTAGTTGCCCAATTGCTGGCTTGAACTGGATGATTAAATCTTAAGAAAAGTTAGGACAACATAGAAGAATTGTTGAAGATACTCAAAACTGGCAAGGGGCTGGATGTGGTGGCTCGTGCCTATAATCCCAGCACTTTGGGAGGCCCAACGCAGGAGAATTGCTTGAGTCCAGAAGTTCAAGACCAGCCTGGGCAACTTGGTGAAACCCCATCTCTACAAAAAAAATTACAAAAATCAGCAGGGTGTAGTGGCACATACCTGTAATCCCAGCTACTTGTGAGGCTGAGGCAGGAGGATTGCTTGAGCTAGGAAGGCTGAGGCTGCAGTGGCCAGAGATTGCGCACCACACTCCGGACTGGGTGACAGAGTGACCCATGTAAATTGGCAAGGTAAAAGCTGGTGTCAGAATAGCTATGGAAACACAAATGAAAGTTGAAAAAAGCCCATAGAAAATAAGATGTTTGAGAGAATGCTGAAAGGAATGGAAATATTTGGTTGAATATATACATTTCCTTTATCTGAATTTGTCTGGATTCATTTCATGTAACCTACAAACTGATCATTCATTATAAGCTATAATCTCCAGCCAAAAAATAACCAAAATATGTAAATAGTATTTAAATAAAATACCATTAACTCAATTTTCAGTCTTTTATCACTTCATGGTTCACCTTCTTCATGAAACTGTTCTTAATTTATCTGATAAAGGAATTCTGAAAAAAATGATGTACCCCTTCACCAATGTATTTGGTTGAAAATTAACATTTTCATCATAACTTTCATGGTTGCAAAGGATCTAATTTTTAGCATGTTAGAAGTATTAACATTTTTGATATAACTATTACCTCATTCATTTAAATGTATTCAATGGATTCCAAGTATTGTGCTTTCTTATTTCAAATTTTAAGATATCTGAAATTGGGATGACTATCATTATTACTCTAGTCAAGTGTCAGGCATGCTTGTGGGTGTCAGTGACTTAGAAGAAAATTCCAGAGAAAATTATATTTAAGAAATGCTATAGGCTTACACCTATAAACCCAGCACTTTGAGAAGCCAAGGTGAGAGATTCACTTGAGCCTAGGAGTTTGAGACCAGCCTGGGCAACCAAGTGAGAACCCCATCTCTAAAAAAAAAAAAAAAAAAAAAAAAAAAAAAAATTAATTAGCCAGGTACAGTGTCATGCGTCTGTAGTCCCAAATACTTGGGAGGCTGAGACAGGAGGATATCTTGAGCCCAGGAGTTTGAGGTTGCAATGAGCTATGATTGTGCCCCTGCACTCCACCCTGGGTGACAAAGCAAGACCAGAGGGAGGGAGGGAGAGAGGGAGGGGGGAAGGGGAGGAGGGAAGGCTGTAGCACCAAACTTTGATGGCTCAGAGGAAAGCATAATTGATGGTAAAGATCCAAATAAGTCTAAAAGATCTCTTTCAATACATATAGAATAAAATTTTTAAGTAAGTGATTAAAAAAAAGTCATGTCAGTTTCAGTTACAGAATTTTCTCTTAGTGAAACAAAAAGTAATAGTAGTAACTTAGATTTAATAAAATAGGAGATTACAATTATTTAATACCCACTGATATCCATTTTTATTACATGAATAAATTCTTTTTATGGTGGTAAAATACATAACATAAAATTTATTATTTTGCCATTTTTAAGTTTAAAGTTAAATTGCATCAAGTACATTCACATTGTTGTGCAATCTTCACCACCATCCGTCTCCAAAATGTTTTCATCATCTCAATCTGAAACTTTGTACCCATTAAACAATAACTCCCCATTCCACCTCCTTCCAGCCATTGGTAATCACCATTCCACTTCCTGTCTTTATGAATTTGACAATTCCAGACATCTCATGTAAGTAGAATCATACAATATTTGTTTTTCTGTGGCTGGCTTACTTCACTTAAGGTAATGTCTTCCAGGTTCATCTATGTTGCAGCATGTGTCAGATTTTCCTCCATTTTTAAGCCTGAATGATTTTAATGCAAATGAATGATTTTACAATGCGATTCTAGGTATTCAGCCTTTCAATTCATACAATGACATTGTATGTATATACATTTTATTTATCATTTATGGATAGACATTTAGGTGGTTTTCGCCTTTTGGCTATTGTGAATAATGCTATAAACATTGGTGTGCAAATACCTGTTCAAGGCCAGGCACAGTGGCTCATGCCTGTAATCCCAGACATTGGGAGGCCAAGGCAGGCAGATCACCTGAGGTCAGGAGTTTGAGACTAGCCTGGCCAACATGGTGAAACCCCGTCTGTACTAAAAATACAAAAATTAGCCATGCATGGTGGCAAGGTAATCCCAGCAACTCAGGAGGCTGAGGCAGGAGAATTGCTTGAACCCGGGAGGAAAGGTTGCAGTGAGCCGAGACTGCGCCACTGCACTGCAGCCTGGGTGACAGAGTGAGACTCAGTCAAAAAAAGAAAAAAAACAAAAAACAACAACCAAAAAAAACCTGTTCAAGTCCTTGCTTTTGATTATTTTGGCTACATGTCCTGAAGTGAAATTGCTGGGTCATATTGTTATAGTACATTTAAGTTTTTAGAAACCTCCACACTGTTTTTTTTAACTCTTCTTTAACAGCTATATTCATTCCACTACTCTAACAAGAATTTTAACCTAACATAAAAATATTTATTGTTTATAATCCCATCATAACTCTACAATAATTAATATAAATTAAAATGAAAATTTTATGTTATCATAAGGATCTAGAAGTTAAAATTTTTTCTAGATTCAGTTATCATTCAATAGCAGTACACAGTTAATCAAAACAACATAAATGCCTTATACATTTTATAAATATTAAACCAAAAAAGTACAGTTTTAATAGAAGGGTTCTCTAAATGAGATGCACTGGGCTATGTTCTTTCTTTTTCCAATTAGTTTATGAAACCTCTGTATGAATATTCTATTCTTTCAATAGATAAATGGATGAACAGATAGATGGATAGATAGATAGATAGATGATAGATAGATAGATAGATAGATAGATAGATAGATAGATAATAAATAGAATTGCTGAGAAATTTCAATCACAATAATTGCCCATAGAACCTTCCCCCGTTACCCTTTACAAGAGACAATATGGAACCTAATAAACTCTCAGTGGTGAATCACAGTCAGCACACTTACTATATCAATTAATACCCCTGGTGCCTCAGTCTCTCCCACGCTCAAGCCATCCTTACCTTACCAAGCCATGCCCATTCCAGCAGATGCAGTCCAGTTCCAGTACCTCCCCCTCACTGTAATGCATAAAGGCTCTGACTTTTCTAACAACTGCCCAAAGGGGCTGTGTACATAATCCAGAAGTGTATGCGGTTAAGCCTCATAGAATATGGGCTCCTAACCATACCCTGCCTTTCACTTTCATTGGAAAGAGAACAGGCAATATGGAGCCTAATAAACTCTCAGTGGAGATTCCCAGCCAGTACACTTACCATATCAATTAACAATGAATAATTACTGTTCACTTTCACTGGAAAGGCAGGATATGGTCAGGAGATCATAAATAAATTCCTTGCCCTTCCTCTTCCAAACAAACTTTTCTGAGACACAGTGATCCCAAACAGTCTCTCCAGAAATACAGAAATATCCCATGAAACTGAATAACCAACCAGGTTTAGACTGTGGCCAGTGTAATAATGCATCATCTTGTATTTGCTCCCATCCTTCACCACCTCACTTCACTTTGTACCTCACTCTCAATGATCTGGAATTCACCCATTCACCCATCCAAATAAAATATTAGCAGCTGAGCTTTGTTTTGGCTTTGTATTTTTGAGAACTCAGACTAAGATATTCATAAAAATAAGTAGAAGAGAATGAAAGGAGTTCTCTTATAGCAATTTCACTCAATATTTTAAACTCCTTGCTAGATATTGGACAAAATAACACAGTAATATACCATCTAAACTCAGTTTCAACAATTATTGGTGGACATTTCAAATAAGCTTTCATTCAATGCTTTTGAAAGCAAAGAATTAGTTGCCAACTTTTTTTACACTGTGTTATCAGCCATTGGAATATCCACTCTTCCAAAACCTACACCAGTATTTCAAATTATTCCTTTGCCTGACCTAAAAGTATATAAATCCAAGGGCAATGCCCCAAGCAATACATCATGGTAAGATCTGAATGTTTAAGAGGTTTAACTTTCTTTTGTAAATTGAGAAAAAGGAATCTGGAAGAAAGTGAGACTTTGCTCATATCCACCCAAGTCACTGATTAAGCAGCTGTTTCTTCCCATCCCCCTCAGCCCCTCCTTGGGCATCTGCTAGCTTCATGATGGTCAGACCTTGAATCTTTAAACTACCCTTACCTTTGATAGTGCTGACCTCACTCGAGGGCTGACATGGGAAAGCTCGTCCTTTCCCTTATGGTCTAATTTCTTAATTCCCTTCAACCACAACATGAGGTTTTGCATAACAAGTTTTAGGTACTGAGAACCTATAAGCAACCAGACAAATTGCAAAGCAATTTGATAAGCAGAAGATAAAAACTTAAAACTTCAGTGCTACCACCATCCTAAGAAAATGCAAATTTAAAAAGGCATAAAGCCAGAACTTTCCTCAGCTGCTGTAGTAGAAACACTCATAACCCTGTCTCAAGAATCAACCTCCTCTCCTCCTCTCTGAAACATATCCACTCTTCATTTTTTTCCAGTGCACATCTCCATCCATTGCTGCACTTGGAAAATTCAATCTTCTACTCAGAGGAGATAGCCATGTTTCTCTCTGCCCAGGGGGCATTCTAAAGCAAAATAGCATTCAACCCTACCTTTCCCCAAGCCTAAGTTAATTAATTGAGAATAACATCATGAAAAGCTTCAGCTAAACAGTCCAAGTAGGCTTTGTTACCCCAAGTCTAGCACCATTCAAGATCTCTCTGCCACAGATGTTTATATTTATCCTCATTTTTCTTACAGCCTTGTGTCAGGTAAGTATTGAACAAAGTATGTGCAAGAACACACACACACAAGGGACCCATACCTCCTAAAGAAAAAAAACGCTATTGTCAGAAACAGTCCAGCCTAAATCCATATTAAAATAGTATTTCTATTAAGGTAAGGATCAGCTGCATGTTACTGAAAATCCAAAGAAGTGGCTTGAACGAAATAGAGATGGATTTCTGGAGGTACCTGTCCTGAACTGTTACAGTTAGGACCCAGGCTCTTTCTAACTCTCCATTCCAGCTCCCCAAGATCTGCCCTTCATCTTCATAGTAACAAGATAGCTGCTTATGCTTCAGCCATCACATCCAAGATCCTAGCCATAGGATAAAGGCCTTCCCTTTGCAAAGAGATACCTGAGAAATTTCACATTACACTTCCATTTATATGACACTGGCCAAAATTTTCATGGACTTCCCTGCCCATAAAAGAAATCATGTTTTACATAATTATATGAATTATTATATCAATATTTGAGGCCCCTTCATAAAAATGGAACCCATCACAATGCCTTTCGCAGGAGAGTAGTACCTGATGGCCACTTTAAGTTACAACTAAGACTCACAGAAGCATTAATTTTTTAAAAAATTTTGATCCAAGTTAAATTCTAATGTTAGTCACCTTTATCTCATTGACATTTACAATCTGAAAGGAGACAATATAAAGATTCATTATGGGCAGGGCACAGTGGATCATGCCTATAACCCCAGCACTTTGGGAGGCCGAGGCAGGTGGAGGTCAGGAGTTCAAGACCAGCCTGGCCAACATGGTGAAATCCAGTCTCTACTAAAAATACAAAAATTAGTTGGGCATGGTGGCGGGTGCCTGTAATCCCAGCTACTCGGAGGCTGAGGCAGGAGAATCACTTGAACCCGGGAGGCGGAGCTTGCAGTGAGCCAAGATCGTGCCACTGCACTCCAGCCTGGGCGAAAGAGCGAAACTCCGTCTCAAAAATAAAAATAAAATAAAATGAAGATGCATTATGTTCTTTTGCAAAGAATAGCTTCAGAGAGAAGGTAGGGGTGGAGAAGTTCATTTAAGGTTTACTCACATCTTGCCACCTCTTAATTTTGCTTATCCTTAAACTGTACATGTAGAATGAGCAGCAGCTTTTTTTTTCCACATTATATAGAATGCACTGCCAAGGTTTAACACCCAAATAAGAAAATAGTTATCAGGAAGATTGCAGACTGCTATGGATGGGAGTGGGAGAAAAGAGAAGTTGTAACAATGCAATAATGAGTCAATGACTTTGCAAAATGGGAGATGTTTTCAGTTAATCATCAAACTGGAAGTTTTCTACTTCCCATCAAAAGCAAAAATTATCTATATAACCCCTGCTACTGATAAATCACAGGAAATAAGGTGAGAAATTCTTTTCAGGCCTGAGTAATCTACATCAGGCATTTTTCAAGAAGCTCACTGATGCAGTGTTCAGCATTTCAGTGTTGCATAGATCTGCACAGTAGCAAATTGGGAAATTCAGAAATAAAGTTAATAAACTTTCTATAGTTAAAATGTATGTTTTCAACAAATAAATATGGAGTTTCTGAGAATTTTGTGTCCATTTCAACCCAGAAGTGAGTTAAATTTGGACCAGCATGAAAAGAAAGAAGGTAACTGGCAGATGATTGGAAACCCATTAAAAATAAGAGAAAACTCAGGAAGAATTAGAATGCAGATACTTCTCTTAAACAAATGAAATAAAGTATGATTCATTTAGCAGGAAAAGATGAAAATTAATTTTAAAATAATATTATATCAACTTATATATTATTTTTACTTTATTGTGTGCAAATGAGTTTGTAAGACAATATTTAAAATATTGTATGTAACCCATATTTCTCCAGGTCACACAAATCTGGCAAGTATAAACTGGTTCATATAAACAGCACAGTGGTGAAAAGAACAGTCTGTGGACAAGAAGGCTATCTGACCAACAAAACAGAATAGAGTCCAAAACAAACTTACACTTATAAGGTTATCTGATTTATAACAAAAGTGACACTGCAGTGCTATGGGGAAAAGATGGGCCTTTCAATGAATGGTACTGGACCAATTGAATATTCATATGGAAAAAAATGTACCTTTACTCCCAACTTTACACCATGCATCCATATCAGGTCCAGATAGATTACAGAAAAAAACGTAAAAAGTAAACAGAAGAAAATACCTTCATGACCTTGGGGTAGTCAGAGACTTCTGAAAGAGACCGCAAAAAGTGCTAGCCATAAAAAAAAAAAAATAGATAAACTAAACTGTGTTAAAGTTTCAGTACAGTTCCATTCTTCATAGAGTCTTCATAGGGCACCATAAGAAAATGAAAGACAATCCAAAGAAGGGGAGAATATATTCACAATACATATCCAACAAAGGATTCACATCCACAATTTACAGGTAACTCTTGCACAGCAGTAACAAGAAGAGATAACACAATAGGAAAAAGAACAAAAGACTAGATCGGAATCTTCACAAAAGAGACTATAGAATCACCAAAAAACATATGAAAATGTACAGGGAAAAGAAAATTAAAATCAACTACAACATGATATCTACTGTTCCACATCCACCAAAATGTCTATAATGAAAAAGACAGAAAATACCAAGCGCTAACAAGAATGTGAAACAACCATTGCTTCCACACACTGCGGGTGGGAGAGTAAATTGGTTCAACCACTTTGGAAAACTGGTTGCCAGCACCTACTGAAGATGAACATAAACATATATGTGCTGTATATGACACAGCAATTCCACTCCTAGGTAAATGCCCAACAGAAATGTATAGTCACATTTACCAAAAGGTATACAGTAGGATATTCATAGCAGTACTATCATCAATGTCCAAACCTGAAAACTACCCAAATGCCCACCAATGGTATAATGAACAGAGTATATTCAAACAAGAAAACACTATAGCAACAGGAGTGAACCAACTAAAACAGCATGGATGTCATTGCAACATGCAAGAACATGAGTGATTTTCAGTGCTGAATAAAAGAAGCCAGACATAGAGGAGAATATTGTAAAATTCCATTTATATGAAGTACAAAAACTGTCAAACTACCTTATGCAATTACAAGTCAAGAGAGCAGTTGCCCTTATCAGGGATGGTGACTAGAAACGGGCATAAGAGGGCTCCCAGGATGCTGGTAATGATCTGTTTCTTCATCTAGGTGCTGATTACAAATGGTATTCAGTTTATGAAAGTGTATCAACCTGTACACTTAGGACATGTATACTTTTCTATATGTATATTACTCACTAATAAACAATTTCTTTAAAAGAGCACATTATGGTCTTAGATTCCCTGAGTTCACACTTGCTAGCTGTGTGATTTTGAGCAAATTACTTAATCTTAGAATTTCATGCTGGTAAAATGGGAATAAAAGTAGTGCCTACTTCACAGAACTGTAGAGAAGATTAAAACTCCACCATAATGTAATAAGTAGGGTCCCCAAATTTCAACTGGGCATATAAATATAAGTCATGTTGAAAGGGTACTCAAATGATAGGGCCAGCCTGTGCAACTAGCTGGCTGCAAATACTAAGAGTCCAGCTATGAAACTCAAATCCACCTCTATCCTAGCTACAGCTTGTTAGCACTTGATGGCAAATGTCTTCTCTGGTTTCTATATTAACAGAGATAATTCTGAGTTCTACGTATAACCAAGATTTCCAAGACAAAGAGTTAACTGGTACCCATTTTGTCATTTGTGGAGAAACTAGGCTGGAAGAGTACTTGGGTCTCTGCCTTCCAGCTTCCTGAGCCAAGGTTGTCTTCCATTTCCTAACCTAGCATTAGCCTCTCCTCCACTTTCCCTCTTTCCCTGAAGAGGAAAAGAACTTTAGCCTACCCTCATTTGAGAACACAAGCTAGCCAGAAGACAGGAGAGAAATATCAACCCCTAATATTTTAGTTTGCATCTTGGCAGATGGGAAGTTATAAAACACATAGGTCACTTGGGTGAATGACAAGCACTCAATAAAGCAGTAGCCATTTTCCCCCATCTGACTGTTGACCCATCCACCTTACAAGACCTCCAACGCTCCTCAAGGTCTTTCCCAGCTATTTCCTGTAGTTCCCAGAAGATATGCGGGATTTGCTGCCATGTGCTGGCTCTCATCACCCCCTGAAACACAGGACTAGGAAACACAGGAGCATCCCTGTCTTCCAGAGTCCTCAAAATACCACAGCCAGGCTGTCTTCCATACGAAAGAAAGGAGAATGCCTCTCTTCCTCTTCTGGATTTTAAAAGAGAACCAAAGGAATCCTGCCCTGAAAAACACTGCCTTACAGAGCTTCTTGTGGGGGAAGGGAGCCTCTAAAATCTTGGGTTATTTGGGGAACTTTTTGTTTTATGATATTTTCTTCCTTTGTATGTATAATAGAACCACTCTGTCACACAAGAGGCCATGGGGACTGGACTACCATACTGTATGGCTCTCAGCCCCTCCTCTCAGGCCACTGACAGCTTGTATTAGGCTCATCCTGACTGTTCCTTTCCTTACAATGATCTCAGTTCCCACTGCAAACACTCCTGGCAAGCTTACCGCTCTAGCCCATTAGACAAACCAAGATATGCCTGATTCCCAAGAATAAACACTCTTGTGCTCAAAGAGGAACTCCCCCCAAAACATTTCATTATACACTATTGGCTTTATAAAAATGAGAGCTTAAAGAACATTTCATATGTCTCTAAAGCTGGATGTCCTAACCAGGTGGATCCAATGGACAAATTGGATGAAGATTCTGGAGCCCAGAATAGGCTGCAGCACTCAGCAAATTTATGGTAATGGACATGACAAGGCCACATCTTCCAGATGCATGACACATTTTCACAGAATCCACCCAACTCCCAGGCACCTACCATAACGCCACTCCCTCTCTCATCCTCAAGAAAACATGTTAGAATGTGTGCAAGTATAAATGATGTTCAATTACGCATATAACCTTGACTGTCCTCTAACCTACAAAAGCAGTAAAACATTCACAAGTGCTAGTTTCTACACACCACACCACCAGAGCTTTTGGTCCTGTGATCCTGTGAACCACTACCTGAACAAGACTGAATTCATTAAGATTCATCAACTTACAAAGAAAAATGTCCAAATCAAACTAACTTGGAAAGAAAAGAGAATTTGTCCAAGGTATATGAGAAAGTCTTGTAGGACACAGGAAGGGTGGGGTAAAGCTGAGCCTCAGAGACAACTCGAAAGCTGCCTGGGCTCTTGCTGTCTTTGTTTTTCAGGTCTGCTCCCATCTCTCCTGGAGACTAGCTTCCTCCACATTGTAGAAAGCACAGCCACCCAAGCTCCTGTGGCTCTCACAGCCAGAGAGGGGCTCCCCTTGGTGACCACCACATGAAAATTCACAGAAGTGCAAAGACTGGCAGCATTTCTTTCAGATGCCTACACCCAAAACCAATCAGCAAGGGCCACAGGGCCTGGGTTCCAGGGACAGACAACCTTGCAAACCAGGGCCCATCCAGAGAAGGGGAAATTGTTGATGTATCTATTACAAAGATACATTTCCTTCTGGATGTGGCATTGGTTCTATTCTGATTATGGTAGTTACTGAATGCAGGGGGTGAAACTAACAGAATTAGTCACAAAAAAAGCCAAAATCAGAGCCTAAGAAGGAGAGACCAATAAGTGGTTTTCTCAGTTAAAAATAGCCCGACGTTAGGTTTAAATCAGAGTTGGATTGAATATCACAGCAGTCTGAAAGTGAGTGAAAGGAAGTTGTTTGTGACAGTCTGATGGCTCCCCATGATAAGGCACTGATCCCCATCTTTAATAATAACCAATAATAAGCACACTGCACGACTCTCTTCTATTTCTAATATTATGGGTAAAATTGTGCAGGCCAAATCAAATGCAATTACTGCTTAAGGCGGAATGGATGAAAACCCACAGCTCCTACACATTAAAAAGATTCAGTGGGTGAAAGACCTAAAGAAGAAAGATGTAATAATGTTTTTTATGATTATTACTTTCATTGTTATTATTTTGGTTTGTGTTATTATAATTATTATTATGATAATTACTTTTTTATTGATACTTCTCCTTACGTTTATCTTGAGACGGAAACAATAACTGCCCAGCTCTCCTTGTAAAAGTGCCAAGGGAGTAGTTGGAAGTAATGATGAAAAAGGCTTTTTCTTTTATATTAGTCCTGCTATAAAAGGAGTGGTTACTCTTTCTACAAAGGTAGCCCATGTCACATAAAATAAAGTCATATTTCTTCCAAAGCTGTTCATTCAAATCTGGAAGTAACTTCTTCTTCCTTATGAAATGGCATACTTGAGTGAGTATCTATCAAACCTTCTGAACCAGCCTTTCTCATACAATATGTGGAGTTGATAAAGAGGGCATGGCTCAAGTCTTTATGTCTGGGTCTCATTTTCTCCTATGTTCCAGGGCACCATTGACTCTGTTGATTAAATAAGAGCTCACATCACTGGGTCTCCTGTGATCAGTGTTTTTCAGGAGCAGAACAGGGATTAATTGATCTTTTGTCTCTGAATAATATTATTTGATGGAAATTTAATAGAAACTGGTAGATTTTAATATTACCAGGAAGCCATGGAGAACTTGACATTTTAATTTGTTTCTGAATCGTTCATATAGCGGAAAAGCCAGGAATATACATATGTTAATAAGCTTTCTGACAGAGCAATGAAGGGGAGAAGGGAAGAAAGAACTGCAGGAATTATTCATCCTTAGGAGGCTCAGCAAGAAATGAGCTTGAGCTGTGTGGAGAGTTTTTTTTTTTGCCAGCTGGGAATAAATAAGCATATGACTCTGAGGGATTATTCCACTAAGATCCTAAATTTAAGGCTATGCATACCCACAGGATATTAGGGGACTTAGCGAAGTTTCTTGATTCCTTCTCCCTTCCCCAGCTAGGGTGTCAGCTGCTACCTGCACAGGCCTAGACAGTGGATGAAGTTAGTGCTTAGACCTCCTGCATCCTCATCAACTCACACCCATCTTCTGTAGCATTTTTTTCCTCCTTAGATCTCAAGAATTTTTCAATGCCCAGCACCTCCAGTCAAGAAGGAAGTCACCCTCTCTTTAAGGCAGCAGTGCCTGAATGTGTTACCTCTGAAGCATGTGTGCTCTCAATGGGAGAAGATTGTGTTTAATTATCAAAACTGACATAGTAATGGATTCTTCCGCATGGTTTCTGCCTAACATCTGACAGGTTCTACCACATAGGACACTGTATCCACAAACCTGCCATAGAGTGTACTGTTTAGAAAATGCTAGCTTTTAATCTGAATTTTTAATAAAAAAGTAGATTTTTCCTAAAATCCCTTTTATTCAGAACATACATATAAGCCCTCCTTAAGTAACCTTCATAATTCACTTATTAGAAAGATTTGCTTTACAATTCTTGAGTGAGAGTTAACAGGGTTCATTCAAATGAGGATTTAATTTTTGAAAAATTAGTGTACACACAACTTTTCAAGAAAAAACTCTCACATATATAGAGAGGTTTGACAAACATGCATGCAAGCCCCCAACTGTTAAACAGAAATAGATGAAAAATGGACAATTAGGCCACATCCGTTTAAGATGCTTCCATCATGAAAACTAATAAACCATTGATGTCATCTCTGGCTTTATGAGGTCTTTACATCTGGGACAGCCTTTGCAGATTGTAATTAATCATCATACATCACCAAACGCCACTGACTACCTAGAAGATGAGCCCTCTGCAACCCTCATGATTTTCCCACATTTGCTTATCTGCAGATTCATTTGTCCTTCAGATTACGGCACGGTAGAGTGAGTGAGTCTGTATGTCAAGTTACTTTCCCTTCAATTTTGCCTTTTTGTTTGAATTTACATTAGCCAAACATGGTAGGCTGAAAAATGCCACCCCCTCCCAACAAGATGTTCACATCCTAATCCCCAGACCCTGTGACTACGTTCTCTCTTATGGCAAAATGATTTTGCAGATGTGTTTAAGTTAAGGATCTTGACATCGAGCAATTGTCCTCGATTATCCAGGTGGGCCCACAGGATCCTTACACGCAAAAGTCAGAGGGAGATGCTGAAGAGGAGACGGTGATGTGATGACAGCAGCAGAGGGATGCACTTTGAAGGCAGAGGAAGGGGCCACAAGACAAGGAATACAGGGGGCCACTAGAAGCTGAAAAGCGCAAGGGAATGGATTATCCCCTCAGAGCTTCCAGAAGGAACCAGCCCTGCCAAAACCTTGACTTTAGCCCAGTGAAACTGACTTGAGACCTCTGATCTCCAGAACTGTTAAGGAATAAATCTGTATTGTTTTAAGCCACTAAATTTGCAGTAATTTACTGTGGAAGACAGTGTGGCGATTCCTCAAAGACCTAGAACCAGAAATACCATTTGACCCAGCAATCCCATTACTAGGTATAAAACAAAAGGAATATGAATCATTCTATTATAAAGATACATGCATGTATATGTTTGCTGCAGCACGATTCACAATAGCAAAGACATGGAATCAACCCAAATGTCCATCAATGATAGACTGGATAAAGAAAATGTGGTACATATACACCATGGAATACTATGCAGCCATAAAAAGAATGAGATCATGTCCTTTGCAGGGACATGGATGGAGCTGGAAGCCATCATCCTCAGCAAACTAACACAGGAACAGAAAACCAAACACTGCATGTTCTTATTTATAAGTGGAAGCTGAACAGTGAGAATACATGGACACAGAAAGGGGAAACACACACACTGTGGCCTGTCAGGGAGTGCAGGGGGAGGGAGAGCATCAAGAAGCATAGCTAATGGATGCTGGGCTTAATACCTAAGTGATGGGTTGATAAGTACAGCAAACCACCATGGTACACATTTACCTATGTAACAAACCTGCATGTCCTGCACATGTATCCCAGAACTTATAAATTAAATTAAATTAAATTAAATTAAAAATAAATAAATAAAATAAAACCAAAAAAGAAAATGTATTAGAATGAATGAGAAAATTGCTACTTTCACAATTAAAAAAATAAAATTTATTACAAAAAAAATTGTGGTAATTTGTTACAGCAGTGAAAGGAAACGAATATGACAGGCTTGAATGTTTTACTATCCCATAAACATAAACATACAAATACCCTCAAAATTAGAGAACATCTTTAACCTCTAGTGATCTATTTATTTGGGAAGCTTATAAATAACACTGGCACTCAGGATAAAAATGTAAGCAACTCATCTCACAGTTACATGGGTTATTGGTCAAAAAGTATTTACTGCATACCAAGTATGGGAAAGGCATTGTACTGGGAGAGACAGTGGAATAAGGTACAGGTTGAGCATCTCTAATGAGAAATTCTCCAAAACCCAGAATTTTTTCAACACTCATATGATGCCACAAGTGGAAAATTCCACACCTGACCTCATATCACAGGTCACAGTCAAAACACCATCAAAACTTTGTTTCATGCACAAGTTATTTAAAATATTATAAATAATACCATCAGGCTATATGCATAAGGTCTATATATAAAACATAAATGTTTAGACCTGGTTCCCATCCCCAAGATATCTCATTATGTCTGTGCAAATATTCCAAAATCTGGAAAAATCTTAAATCTAAAACACTTCCGGTCCCAAGCTTTCAGATGAGGGATACTCAACCTGCACACTGCCCTTGAGGAACTTTTCTTAAACAGTATGAAAGCAAAACAAGTACAAAATTAAATAACCTTGAGCACTGTATCTTAATCACTTGTAAATCTCCAAGCTATTTTCTGGAGATGCTACATATTTTCTTTTTTTTTTTTTTTTTTTTTTTTTTCATTTATTTTTTTTTTATTTTATTTTATTTTTTTTATTATACTCTAAGTTTTAGGGTACATGTGCACATTGTGCAGGTTAGTTACATATGTATACATGTGCCATGCTGGTGCGCTGCACCCACTAATGTGTCATCTAGCATTAGGTATATCTCCCAATACTATCCCTCCCCCCTCCCCCAACCCCACCACAGTCCCCAGAGTGTGATATTCCCCTTCCTGTGTCCATGTGATCTCATTGTTCAATTCCCACCTATGAGTGAGAATATGCGGTGTTTGGTTTTTTGTTCTTGCGATAGTTTACTGAGAATGATGGTTTCCAATTTCAGCCATGTCCCTACAAAGGATATGAACTCATCATTTTTTATGGCTGCATAGTATTCCATGGTGTATATGTGCCACATTTTCTTAATCCAGTCTATCATTGTTGGACATTTGGGTTGGTTCCAAGTCTTTGCTATTGTGAATAGTGCTGCAATAAACATACGTGTGCATGTGTCTTTATAGCAGCATGATTTATACTCATTTGGGTATATACCCAGTAATGGGATGGCTGGGTCAAATGGTATTTCTAGTTCTAGATCCCTGAGGAATCGCCACACTGACTTCCACAATGGTTGAACTAGTTTACAGTCCCACCAACAGTGTAAAAGTGTTCCTATTTCTCCGCATCCTCTCCAGCACCTGTTGTTTCCTGACTTTTTAATGATTGCCATTCTAACTGGTGTGAGATGATATCTCATAGTGGTTTTGATTTGCATTTCTCTGATGGCCAGTGATGATGGATGCTACATATTTTCTATTGGGCAATATAAATTAAGCTCCTGTGATATAAAACAATAGTGCAGGAGTTACAAACAGACTGTGATTAACTGTAAAATTGTTATTTTAATTAATAGCACAGGGAGGGAGAAAAAGAAGGAGGGAAGGGGAAAGGAGTATGGTATATACTTATGAACATACATATATGTATACTATACTTATATTTAATATATTTATATGTACATATTTCATATGACATATATATCATGTATTTGGTATTCAAGGAAAAATTTGCAAAAATATATGTCATATCATGCAATTTCTCTGTTCAAAACCTTCTCATGACATCCCATCAAATTCAAGAGTAAAAGCCAAAGTCCCTGCTGTGGCTTTAAGGCCCTTCCATGATCACCATCACCCATGTCTCATCTTACCACCTACTACTTTCTCCCTTGCTTACTTCATGCTAACCATATATGTCCCATTGCAGTTGCTGCCTCAGGGCCATTGTATTTCCTGTTCTCAATATTCTCCCCCTCCAAAAATATATTCAAATGGCTTGCTCCCACCTGCCCTTTAGGTCTTTGTGCAAATGCTATATTTTGAGTGAAAATTTTTCTGGCCACCTCTTTTAAAGTGACAACCCTCCCCTCCCAAAACCTCTTTTTCTCTCTTTTTCTGCTGTATTTTTCCCCCACAGAACTCTCCTCATAGAATTTGCCCTATAGTTTGTTTGGCTGGTTGGTTTGATTTTGTACCTGTCTCCTCCACACTAGAATGTAAGCTCCCTGAGAGTAGAGATATTAGTGTGTATTGTTCACTGATGTGTCCCTAATGCTTGGCACATAGAAGTTGCTCAATGAACACTTGTTGAATGAATGAATATAGTTCTTTCATCTTTACTATATTTGTTAGTTATGGGCATATCTGTCTTCTCTCAGACTACATAAGGCATAGCTACTGTATTAATTTACCAGCTTTGCCATAACAAATAATCACAAACTTGACAGCTTAAATCCATAGAAATTTATTCTCTCACAGTTCTGGAGGACAGAAGTCTGAAATCAAAGTGTCATCAGTCCACACTCCCTCTAAAGGCTCTAGTGGAAAATTCCTCTTTGCCTCTTCCAGCTGCTGATGCTCTTGGCATTCCTTGGCTTGTGGCAGCATCCCTCCAATCTCTGCTTTTGCCTTCACATGGTGTCCTCTTCTGTGGCCCCATGTCTTCTCCTTTTCTGTCTCTTATAAGGACACTTGTCATTGGATTTAGATCCTTCCCTAATCCAGGATTATCTCCTCTCGAGAGAATCTTACCTTAATTACATCTGAAAAGACCTTTATTCCAAATAAAACCACATTCTGAGGTTGCAGGGAGACCTATCTTTTGGGTCTCCATTCAGCCCACTATAGGTAGAAACTATGTCTTTATTTTTTTTATCCCCAGACCTTAATGTATCATAGAGCAGAGAATTTTCTTAATAAATAATGATTAACTGAATGAGCCTATGATTTAATGAATGAATTAAGGCTCTCTAAATTCACAAGGGACAGATGTAGTCACTAGAATGGTAGGATGTGTTATAGGCCTCGTTGTCAATGACAGAGAAGGTCAGTTGGATAAAAGTTTGGATTATGAGGTCAGCGAAGGATATAGTTACAAAAGGCTGAACATATCTAGACCATCAAGGCTTCTGGGAAGAGAGGAAGTAGAGCAGGACTCACATGAAAGGAAAAGTTTAACACACTGTACAGCAGGAACAAGGGTAAAGGTGGGAAATAATATCTCAAGGTAAGAATTTAGGAAAGGATAAGATTGCATATAAAACTACAAAGCAAACTCATAAATATAATTGGCTTCATGGATAACAGACAAGGAGAGGATGGATTTCATGTGCACGACTGTAATGAGCTGAATTTATGGTGCTGTGTAAGCATATAAACTTAATGGGGACAGTTTAATAAAAATTCATGATTTAGCATTCAAAATAATTTCTGTTGTGATATGGTCAGATGTGATTATATTGACTGTATAGTTTTACAATTAAGATAATGATCCAGATTTTTTTCTAGGCTCTCCCTCACTTGGCAGGGGGGAAACATAAAGAATAAATAAATCACTAAACATCACTTTTCATACGTTTTAACCATATTGGTGGCTTGTGTTTGCTGATGATTTTATTAAAATCCTAACTTATATTTCTGAAGAGAGAAATTTTTCCTCTCATTCTTAGCAGCAGATAACCTAAGGTGAGTTCTAACAATAGTAAACAAGAGCCCCACCCTCCAAGGATCCAGTTTAATAAAATGTTGGCAGATCCGTTGATGGAACAGAAGAGAATTTATTGCCCTTAATTGTCTCAAGATTTTTCTTCTAGCTGACCACACAGGTTTAGTAAAATAGCATATGTTTCCTGCTCCATGATTCAAATCATTTTTTGTTTTATGCTGAATAATATTTACGTATCATATTAATGTAATGCTCTTAATTCACTTCCTAGCTTTAGAGTAACTTATTAAAGCATTAAAAATATATGATTACAAAACAATGCAAATGCTACAACTCTTGATAATATAAAATAGCTAATGTATCAATATATCTGAAAGAAGGTCATAGATTATGAAGAGCTGTAAAGGGAAAGAAAGAAGGAAGTCGGGGTGTGATAACTTTCACATCATCTTTCTTTTAGTGAAGTTTGATGATTTTCAAAATTTAGCAACTACAAAATAAACAAAAATCAAAAATGGTTGTAGGAAGTCTCCATTATGAGAAGTCAACATTATGAATAATGTCATGGATGGGGGAGAATGGTAAGGAGAATCTGGTTTATCATTTTATATGCTTCTGTAAGTTTCTAATCCATTTCTTTCACAATGCACCTGCTATTGCTTTTAATCATAAGAGAAGATATATATACAGCATTGGCTAAAACTGTAGGCTCCAGAACCAAAACACAGGTTCAAATCTCAACTCTGCCACTTCCTAGCTGTGGGACTGTGGCAAATGTAGTTAACTACTCTATGCCCCATCTATAAATTGGGAACAATAACGGGGAATCTACTTCACAGAACTTTTGTAAAGTTTAAATTCTTTTTAGGAAGTGAACATCTACAAACATAAAAAGTATAAACACAATGGCAACTATGTACTCTATGTTTAATTTTAATATATTTTATTTTACCATATTTGTTTCAAATCATTGGGTATTTTTTAAAGAAATAAAATAGTACAGATACAGTGAACTGTACTAACCGACCTCAGGACACACCTTCACTTTCAGAGGTAACTATCATCAGGAGTATTATATTATCTTTTATATTGCTATTTTTATGATTTTACTATGTATGGACACATGTATAATACATATTAATAGCATTTTACGTATGTTTCTAAATTACATAAATGCTGTCCAACTCTACAGATTCATTTTCAACTTGATTTTTTCTTGTTTTTGAAGTTTACCCATGTTCCGTAGTTTGTAGAACTACATCTACAAAAATAGATGTAGTTCAATCATTCTTCCCTGCTGTATGATATTCTGTCATATGAATATAATACAATGTAGATATTCATTGCCTATTAATGGACATTTATGTTTTTCTAGTATAACCTGTTTTTGCTCTGACTACAAAGCTCCTGAATATGATGTTTTGCCTACATCTATGTTTTTCCAGTATAATTTCTGCTGGTAGTTGTCATTATGAGCGCTTGCATCAAGTTTGCCATAACTGATCTCTCAGTTGGTCTACTGTACTTCCAAGCCACTCTTCCCAATGCTCTCAGAATGGTTTTTCTGTACAGAAATCATGTCCAACTATTCCTTAAACACCTTGTCATCTCTAAAACTCCAAGCCTTGGTTTGCCATATAAAATTCCTTGAGGATCTGACTATGCCCAATCTCATTTCCTGCCACTCTTCCACTCTCCTCCTACACTCCCGCAGGTCAGCCACTGCACACTCCTGCAGATCCCTGAAGACACCATGCTGAATGCTTTGATTTCCTTTTTTTTTTTAATGGAGTCTCATGCGGTCACCCAGGCTGGAGTGCAGCAGTGTGATCTCGGCTCACTGCCATCTTCATCTCCTGGGTTCAAGTGCTTCTCCCACCTCAGACTCCTGGGTAGCTGGGATTACAGGCACTCGCCAGCACACCTGGCAGATTTTAAAAAATATTTTTAGTAGAGATGGGGTTTCTCCATGTTGTCCTCAGGCTGGTCCCAAACTCCTGACCTCAAGTGATCTGCCCACCTCAGCCTCCCAAAGTGCTGGGATTATGGGCGTAAACTACCGAGCCCAGTTGCTTTTGTTCATTTCTATGCCTTTGAGTTCTGTGACTATGCTATTTTCTAGAAAATCATCTTCCTCCTCATCATCATCCTTCTCCTTCCCCCCTACTCCTCATGCTCATCTTCCCACTCCTTGCTTTCTCCTTTATCTTTCCCCTTCTCCCAGTCCTTTCCCACCTCCTTCTTCTTTGCCTAGACTGGAAGCCTCTTCTGTCCTCTTCAAGCAAAAATAAATGCTTTCTCTTCTCTGATCCCATAAGACATTGTGCATAAGTTAAAATGCTTACACAATGCCATGTTGTTGTTGTTGTTGTTGTTGTTTCAGATATGTTCTTCCACTAACCTATATACTCTGGAAAGAAGGGAGTGTACTCTAAACATCCTTATATCCCAAGAACCTAGTGCCTTGAAAGAGGGTAGCAGCTTAACAAGTGCTGATTGGAGGAATGAACTTATTATATTAAAAACTTATTTATATAACTAACTATAATTACAAAAGAAATAAATTATAAATTATACAACGTACAGTTCACTGTATCTGTACTATTTTATTTCTATAATTTTATAGAACTTATTCTCTAAAAATTGAAAGCCATTGAATATGATAAAGGTTGATGAAGAAAATCTAGTGTCTGTGCCTGAAATTGCCTAAAATGGAGATCAGACGTAGGGAACCCAGTTAGGAAAGGTATTGCAATGTTCTAACAAGGTTTCCCTATGTGTTGTTGCTATATATTGAAAGAGATGGTTTAAACGGTGGTATGTCTTAACTTGCATAATACTAAGCTAAGCTATAATGGTTCTAACATCCTTAGGCAGGAAGCTGATTACAATTATGTTCATTACAACTTCCTTTCGCATGTTACTCTGGTGTGCCCCTAAGCTCTATCTTCATTTCTACCATGGGATATGTGTCATTTATAGTTTCCCAACCTTCAAAACTATTCCGTGGCAACAGACTGCAAGCTTCTAGGAAAGGCCTTAAGGCATTCATTCAGGGGCTGCTCTGTGCTAATAAGTGTTTCCTAAAATGACATGGAAACTATGTATTAGATAAATTGTGCAGTTATTCATAGAGGGGGCATTAATGAAGCTTTTCTAGAAATAATTGTGTCCATGCATACAACGTCAACTAGGCAACAGCTCAGAAAGCTTGTTGCTCATCTGTTCATTTTATAGATGAGGAAACAAACAATATGAGATGACAGATTTCAGAGCTGACAGTCTAAAAATGTTTTAATAATAATGGCTGGCACCGATGGAGGGTGCATCAGACTCTTGGCTAAGTACTTTATACATGTTATTATTTCATTGAATCTTGACCACAAATCTATGAAATAAGCATTAATCTCTATTCTTGCAAACTAAGAAGCTGAGGCTTAGATGAGTTAAATAATTTGCTTCAGATCACACAACTTATAGGTCACAGAGCCAGATTTTCACCAGATTTTTCTGACTCCAACACCTTTGCTTTTAGCTGCTTTTATGACATTATGTTAGCAGCTGTTTCCACTGCAAGAGGCTGCCTCATGTATGGGGCCAAATTCAAGCTAATGTTTTTTATCTTACCCATTGCTCGATTAAGAAAATTACTGTTGCATGCTTTGGATGCCAAGGCTTCACGTCCTCCTTCTAACAGCAGGTTGGCTTCTCCCTTACTGAAACAGAGTGCCTGGATGCTCTTGCATCTCAGTCTTTCCTCCCAGGATAGTCAGGGGGTAGCCATGAGCAAAGCTCAACTCAGTCAACCTCTGTCTCCCAGGGCTCTGAGTTACCAAAGGGCCTCAAACACCAGAGGAACCACTGGAGTTCAATTATCCCAGACTCCAGGTGGGGAAATTGCTGAACAGCTTCTACGAAGGAGACCCAGTGCAGCTCCTCTTACCTTGCAACTCCCAGGCCTGGTTCTTCATTCTTCCTGTCAATCTTGTGATATCTCTTTCTAAGGAATTTCATTTTTGCTTAAAATAGCCAGCATCATTTTCTGTAACTTGCAGCCAAATAATTAATACAACCATGATCTCCCATTCCTATGAACATTCCTCTTAAATATCCCCTTGTGGAGGACAACATAAAACATGAGTGCCATAAGGTACAAAAATGAACTTCATTCAACACTCAAAACTGTGAGATGAAGTTCAAGTTGTGCCTGTCCTGTTATGTCTTCAACATCATACTCTTTCCAGTGGTGACCACAGAATGCCCCCTCCCTCAGTGTTAGCATCCACCTTTCCTGACTTCCTAGCTTCTTGTCTAAGGAGTGCAATGAGACCCTCAGCGTCTGCAGTCAGCTGCTTTGGACAGAGAAAAATTATGAGAAAACAGTGGTCGTGGTCTCAACTCTACAGATCCTAACAAGGATTATAGGATGGATGGAATACAACCTGTATGCCAGGAAGAATAAGTCAATCTAGTGAGGCAAAATAAGCTAAGTGAAAAAAGACATCTGGGAATGTAGACTGGGAAAGTAAGCCAAGGAACAGACAACTGGGCTGTGTGCAAGAGTGTAGGGGCCGTGAAGAGAAAGTGATTGGGTTTTAGGGATGGCAAAAAGTAGGTAGGTATAAGAGTTAGAGGTAGGAAACTAGTGGTATTTCCTTGCATTGGGAACAGCTAGAATGAATAAAACTTTGCTCTCATCATTAGGAAATCATTATAGAATGACCAGTAAATGGGTTAAACGGGGGGAAAAAAAGACTGTAAGGACTAATAACAACACTTTAATAGTTGTCCTTCCAGGTAGTGAGGTCAGAGGTCATTTTTATATTATGATCTTCATTTTTCTGAATGTTCTCCAACAAGAACATTTTATTTGGCAACTATATAGCATCAAATAAGCCAATTCTGAAACTCTGTAATCACTCAACACATAGGATGGTCCAGGACTTGGCGATGATCGATACCAATGGTAACACTGCATAACATCCACTTGACTAGGAAGTGTTTTTCTGCTACTTTTACAGTACAAAAATAAATTATACCACAACCTGTATTGCCCCCCATCCCATTCTGCAACCCTTCTCTCAGGGCTCTGCTGATGAAGTTGGCCAGCTCAATCGTCTTCAACTTTCACTCTCTTAATACCAATTGAATGTAATCCCTTTGAAATAATTGTCATCCAATACAGGAACTGGGCCTTACTGTGAACAAATTTTCCTGTTTGTACAGCCTTAATTCATTCAACCAACACTTAGTTGGAATTCATGGTGGTTGAAGAAAATTAACTTCTCTCTGCTGCATGGCATAAATTCATTGTTCACTACACTATGTAAATGGCCATCCAGTGGTGGAAAAAAAAAAAAACTTTCGATTCTTTCCACCAGAAAGAGAAGGAAGATTCATTGTGTGTGAGATAACAAAAGGGTACATTTTGTGTTACCTTGTCCCCTAGGCTGCCTGTGCTCAGTTGAATATGATAGAAGCTATCTCATCTGATAAAATGAGACTGATACTAGGTGGTCCTTCTAATTATAGCTCTGCATCACTCCTAAACAAACCACACCCAGAATGCATGTTAATAACTGACAGTTTAGCTTCACTGAAAGTATAGCAAGAATATCAAGATACTTGCCAAGCTCCTGAGTACAATGCAACCTTTCACAGGGTTTTGCCTACATCTTATCCAATATATGTTTTTTTGTATTGACTCATCTTTAAGTTTTTCTTCTGCATTAAGTTATTTAACAAAAACACTGTTTGCCTCACTTTCATAATATTTTTATGATATTTTGGTATCATGATATTTTTGTACTATTTAAATACCATATTTCTAATAATAAGCACAATGGACACAAACAAATTTTAAAACAAACAAAATTGACTCTTGTTGTAAGAAACCATCTGTGAGAGTGGAGCCTACTAGCCTCCCCCATGCAGCATACCGGAGGCATCCGTTAGTAAAGAAATTAGACAGGTGAGCTGAGCTGGATAAGTGGCATTAGTTAAGAAAATTTCTAGGTGAGGATTGTGTAGGGGTTGTTTTTATTTTTTTCCCCTTCTATTTTTAGTTAACACATAATGATTCTACATATTTATGGGATATAGAGTAATATTTTGATATGTGTATACAACATATAATGAACTTACCCATCACCTCAAATATTTATCATTTCTTTGTGTTGGGAAGATTCAACTTTTCTAGCCTTTTGAAAATATACAATAAATTATAGCTAACCATATTCTCCCTACAGTGCTAAAGAATGCCAGAGCTTGTTTCCCTCTAGTGTAATTTTGTACCTGTTAATCAACCTCTCTCTGTTCTATTCAGAAGCCCCCATACTGTTTACCATAATAAAAAGCCTTTGAAGATTACAGTGAAATTTTATTTTTTTCTTGTTGTATTTCAACAGTCTTGGGGGAACAGGTGGTTTTGGTTACATGGATAAGTTTTTTAGTGGTGATTTCTGAGATTTTGGTGCACCCGTCACCCAAGCAATGTACACTGTACTCAATATGTAGTCCTCACTTCCTCCCAACCTTCCCCCCAACCGCAGGGTCCCCAAACTCCATTATATCATTCTTATGCCTTTGTGTCCTCATAGCTTAGCTCCACTTATAAGTGGGAACATACAATAATTAGCTTACTATTCCTAAGTTACTTCACTTAGAATAATGGTCTCCAACCCCATCCAAGTTGCTGAAATGTCATTATTTCGTTCCTTTTTATGGCTGAGTATTAGAATCCTGTAGGTATTTTTAAGCAATAGTACCTGAGTTAAAAAGTAGTGGT